>NC_000013.11:72499015-72650530 GCF_000001405.40 Homo sapiens
TATCCTTTTGTTTCCTAACACCCAGCACCTCTGCACCTACTGTCTGCCCTGAAACCATCAGGATGAGTCTCACTTGCCCTTTATCCTTTTTTTTTTTTTTTTTGAGACAGAGTCTTGCTGTCACCAGGCTGGAGTACAGTGGCACAATCTTGGCTCACTGCAGCCTCCACCTCCCAGGTTCAAGCAATTCTGCCTCAGCCTCCCGACTAGCTGGGACTACAGGCCCGACACTACCACTCCCAGCTAATTTTTGTATTTTTAGTAGAGACGGGGTTTCACCATGTTGGCCAGGATGATCTCGATCTCGTGACCTTTTGATCCACCCACCTCGGCTTCACAAAGTGCTGGGATTACAGGCATGAGCAACCACACCTGGCCCCCTTTATCCCTTTTTACGTTGGTCACATGAAGCCCAGGACTCCCAGCTAGTCCCTCACTCCCTGCACCCTAATTGTCATGTGGCTCTAGAGCAAAGAAGCAACAGAATTCCTACCCACAGCCCCTGGTACACTCTTTCCCCCTTCACTGCATTATTTTCCTACATTGTACTTATCCTTCAGCTGAAAAACTGTATTTATTTTTGCCTTGCTGATTTTTCTCTAGTAGAATGTATGGTGGCTGAGGGCTTATTTGTTTTTTACATCACTGTGTTCCAAGAACTTAAGACAGTTCACAGCAAATAGAAAGTGCTCAATATTGAAAAAAAAATGAATGGATGAATGAATGAAATACAAGTAAATTATATAAATCTAATTCAAACCAAATTATGTTTATCATGCATCTAAATGTGTCAGGGACCTGCCTATATTACGAGTTAGGCATTAGAGATATGGAGATAAATGGACCCGATGCCTTTATTCTACTAATCCTTGATCCTCCATACCTAATATTTGCATTAAAAAGATAGACAGATAGATGATAGAGATACAGGGGGCTTTGTAGCCATGCCCTAGGAAAAATATTACCAATTTTGAATATCCCATTTATACAGCACTATTAATTCCATCTTCATAATATAAAGTATAAATATGGTGGTCCTTTTCATTATCTATAATGTTTTATATGTAGACATGTAAATTTATAACATTACAGGCAATATTTAGTGAGAAATGCATATTTTGCTAGGACTCAGAATCAAATTCTCTCAACTATCAAGTAAAAATAATTTGTTTGAATGGGAAATTTTCAGTGAGGAAAATATTACACCAAAAGACATTGAAAGTCAGAAGAGAAAACAAGGTTGTTAGTAGGCCTTTATGCAATTTATAATAACCTATCTCTAGAGGGGTAAAAATGGTCCCATTTCTCATTGTTGGCAATTTTTCTCAATGACCATTATGTCTACCAACATTTTCTTTTTGAAAATACAGTCAAAGTTGTAACAGAAAATCACAGATGCAATCAAATTCATACTAATGGCTGAAATGCACCATATGCGCTCTGATACCTATGCACAATAGGGTGCAGGTTTAATGACTTTCTTATTGTGCCCCTGTTGTAATTAGGTATTAAAGGACATATGGTATGCTGCCGTTTTAACAGTGAATTTCCTTGTTTTTTATTGTTTTCTATCAGAAGCTTAACAGTCTTTCAGGGTAGTATTAGTAGTGAGAATTAAACCACATGTTGATTTCATTTTTTTAAGCCTTGGAATCTCATCTTGATTAGCCTTATTAGTGTAGTGCCAAAGAAAACATCCAAATCAAATCTATTTTCAGTAAATATGAAGTAAAATACATTTGAATTGGTAAGAAATAAGTGAAAACTCCAGTAGAAATATACACCTAGGATATTATATGTAGAGATTTAGTAACCAAATAGAAACTCATGTGTCCAGAAAGTCGCTAAAGTTTGATGATTTGGAGATGTTTCAACCTTCTTTCAAAATATTTATGAAAATCATTTTTGATAGGCAACTACTATATAAGAGATTTCTATATAAGTGGTAAAGAATTCAATAAAATCCCAAATATACTCATAACAAAAATCCAACTGAAAACAAAAATGTCAGCTACGCAAGAGCATTGGAAGCTGTGAGTCATGATGTTTAGTTTAACTTGTTCAAACACAACCTAAGATTTTTCAAAGACCCAAAGGCCATGATTTATGAAAATTTAATACATTTGAAGAAAATCTGGATCAATTCAGAAGCCAATTTTTATCACTAAAAAAAAATTGAGAGACAAAAATATGATGGCAAACTATACTTTCAAGTCATTCAAAAATTTACCTTAAACTTAATTAAATCTTGCTCACATTTTGGCATATATAGTCGGCCATCCATATCCATGGGTTCCACATCTGTGGATCCTACCAACCACAGATCAAAAATAGTTGGGCAAATAAATAATGGTTGCATCAGTACTGAACATGTACAACATTTTTTTCTTATTATTCCATAAACAATACAGTATAACAAGTATTTACATAGCATTTATGTTGTATTAGGCATTATAAGCAATCTAGAAATGATTTGAAGAATACAGGAGGATATACATAGGTTATATGTAAATACAACATCATTTTATATCAAGGACTTGAGGCTCTATGAATTTTGGCATTCTCGGAGGGCCCTGGAACGAATCCCCCATGGATGCCAAGGGACAACTGTATACCAACCAAGCACTGAGTAGCTTTAAATGCAAATGGTCCTTAGCATCTAGAAGGAATGCTACGGATTCTCAGGAAGAAATTTTTATTGGATGCTACAGCATTCCACTTGGGCTTTACTAGATTTCTGCATTTCAGGTCAGAGAAAGGAGAAAGATCTTATCATGCAAGTTTATATTTTTCAGTCATAAGCATGGCTACATATCCCAGTCCCAGTCAGCACGAGGGCACATTACAAGATAGCCAGCCAGGCTTCCAAATGAGCCATGAAGATTAATAAAATACAGTCTCCAGCGGATGTTGGCACCTCCCTGTCAGGCTAGCTAATGAGTACTGTGTTACTGTAAGAGTCAACTGTCACATTATCTCTGGACTAATAAATGAATTCTAAGACAAATAACAATACACAACTAAAATTCAGTCTAAAAGAGTTTTTCATTTATTGCAGACTGGTACATCCCCAAGAGGCTTTCCAGCTGTCGGCACCATAAGCATTGTCACTTTTTATAGGAAGTATTCAATAAGGGCAAATTCAGTTAGAATTGTTTTTCAAAATTCAAGGTTTAATATTAACAGCAAAGTATTATTACTAAGTTTAATTCATATGTATCCAAGTAACTTATAATATGTAGAGAAAATTCTGTTTAACCTGAGTCTACCAAAATTATAGTGGACAAAGTTTGTTTAGGGGAAGTGGTCAGTTCATATTTGGGGGATTTTTAAATTTAAATAGGAATCCATATCTTGTAGTGTAGAGACCTTACTTACATCTGTTAAAATTAACTTCACTTCAGATATGAAATCTCTCTGCAGCCTTTTTTTGTGTATGACATTCTAGAATCCATAACAGAGGAAAAAGCCTACATAGGGAACAATAAATATGGATATCACATTCATTAACCAATTTCTTCCTATTGTAGTTTGGGTATCCTTGAATTTATTCTGATTAGGAAAGTATATCTCTAGTACAATAACAAGAAATGATTACTGAATAGTTACAAAAAATCAAATTTTGTGATAATAAGTGTGATGACTAAAGTCAGGGATATAACCTGAAAAACTATTCTATCTAGTTTTTAATTACTGAGAACAGAGGGAGGGAGAGAGGGAGGGAAGGAACAAGGGAGGGAGAGAGGGGAAGAGAGAGAGAGGGAGGGAAGGTAGGTAGGTGTAGAGAAGAAAAGGAAGAAGTTAAGGGATTAAAGAAGGTAGGAGAGAAAATAGAAGAAAAAAAATGTCTAACACGTCCATGTTACTCCTAACATTTATAATAACATAATAAATTGTAATTTGCCTCATGACATCACAGAAAGTAGTTGTCAAACAGATTTGGTGAAGAGGTTCATCTGCTCACTGACTTCTGTGAGAATTTCAGAACAGGAAAGAAGTACTAAAGAATTAGTATAATATATTGGATCTCTAGTCTATCTAGTCCCACATTCTAAATTACAGAGATAGCTTAGGGTTTACATGAGGAAATGCTTATTCCATTTGTCTTCAATTTCTGTCTATTATTTTATATTGCAATCTGACTCCAAAAACCTGAGAAATCTTTCTTTATGCCTTATAATAATAGATACAATGTACTCTGTGCTGTATCCAGAACATAACAGGTACTTAAAAAATATCTGTTCTCTCCCTCCCTTTTAGTCTATCTCTTTCATTTCCTCCTTTCTCCCCCAACTAGTCTGTCCTGCACTTTAGAAGACGAGTTGTCCAGAAGATGGAGGTCGGTTGTTCTGGAGGTGTAGATTCTACAAGTCTCCCTGCTTTTCCCTGGTTGGTCCCCTACAGTTGATGTAAGGTATTCATAAAGATTTTTTAATGATTAAAGAATTACATTTTTATTCCAATACTGGAATCACTTCATAAAATATTGGTTTGATTTAATAAGTAAATGAGATAAAATTTATGTTAGCTACTACCATTACCATTATATTGTTATTAATACTATTATTAATACATTGATTGGCAAAGAATTTCCTGTGTATTTTTTAACCTATGTCACTGCTGGATGTGACAGGCTCCCTGGTTTACTTCCTTCCCTTTGAAGTAATGCTTCCCTTTATTTGTTTCCTGTGATTCCCACAGACCTTGCAGAAAAGGGTTCCGAGTAATGTGCAAAATGTCAACAATAAAAACAAGGGTTAAGCTCTATGTGCCAGACACTTTACCTGCATTATTTATTTAATCCTCACAATAACTTAAAGCTAAGTACCATTATCATCCTGATTTTACAGATGCAAAAACTGAGGCTTAGAAAGTGAAATAACTCAGAGTCGTACACTGAGATGTAATAGAGTCAGGGTTCAAACCTAGGCTATCAAACTCCCTGTAAGAACAGTATTCTGCCACCAAAATGAAACCTCCAGCTGGACCCTCCCTTTTAGGGTGCTCTCTGAGGAAAGGATTATGATCAATATTTGACATTCTTTTTGTAAACCAGCTGTCCCCAGAATTCCCAGAGAACCACCTTAACCTTACTCAACCCTCTGTTTAGACTGTCATAGAAATATAGTGGAGCAGCAGCAGTCACATAATTTCATCAGCCCGCTGAGAGAGCTCAAATGAATCATGTGTGTGAACCAACTGGAAGAACCATCTATAAAAGATTTCCCCCTCTTCCACTCAGTTCCTAAGAGATGCATTGTTGTATGTAGTCTATTAAAGATTTTTCCTCCTTCTACCCAGCTCTAAGAGATGCACTGTTGTATGTTCCAGACCCCGAAAGGAAGATTTGCACTAAATCACATGTGTTGGTAACATTTGCAGATTCTTTGTCAGGGTACCGAACTACAAATGGCTGAGCCAAAAGCCTGAATTAATTGGAGAGGATGCAGTTAGTTCTCACTAAGCAGGCTCTCATAGGCTGTGTCAGAAAAACACACTGCCTGTCTTTGTTGTATCTTCTTTGTGTAGGGATGCTCTTCCAGCCGTGTCAGTTGCATGCCAGCTTTGTGGGCCTGAAACTTTATAAAAATTCACTTTAAAAAAATAAAGAACATGTCCAAGAATAACAAATGAGGAATTTATATCTTCAAAATATGTAGATTTGAGATTTGTTTTGGAAAAAAAAAACTGCCCAAGCTCTACTGAGCATCTGTAACGATGATATATCTACACATTATATGGCTGGCTATCTTTAGTTTGTTTTTATATCCTGTGGAGTGTGACATCTGTGCAAAAATTATGAACTGACTCATATACAAGAGGTGCTTATTCAGAGTTTGAAAAATGGGCCTATTCTTCTACAGTTCAATTATTTATGAAGAAATTAGAAAGAAACTTTAAAATCTTGGAATCTTTTTCTTAATTTATTTGTGTGTTATTACAGTCATCCTGATCAAGCAGAAACTATCTGTAGCAAGGGCGAAGGTTTTTCTAAGTGGGTTAATTATATTTATTTTCATGGCCACCAGCTCCTCATTTGCTTTTTATAAATTACTCAGGGCAAGGGGCTAATCTCTGTGATCGCTCTCAATCTAGAGATAACAGCTCAACCTTTCATTTGAAGTGGATCTTTTCTATTACAACCCTTTTATGAACCACCTGTGAAAGGAAGGAAGGCTATATCCATGTGGAGATATAGATATATGCATATAAAAATTTATAACTATTCCCTAATCACTCAGACGTGTAGGCTAAGCATCACTTATGATTACTACACAGATACTATTATACAAAGAAGTACATTTATATGGAAAACTAAAGAAAGCTTTTATTATAAGAATAAATGCTCACTGATCCTTAACTCTAACTATCCTATTAATGCAACAATAAGGAGGTTCATTCATCTTTGTCAGTCCATACTTAAGCCCCCTTAAGTGTGTCTACAGGCAACTAAGAGAAATTAGATGATTCTCTCTCTTACTTTGCTATCCTGGCATGAAATTCTTCTCCCATCCCCCACCTGCATTTTTGTTCTACTTCAAAATAAGTTTTTAATCAGTATTCCAGTACTGGAATGGAAAGTTAATCATTTGTTTATTTAAAAAAATCTCCTTTGGGAGGCTGAGGTGGGAAGATCACTTGAAGCCAGGAGTTCCAGACCAGCATGGGCAATGTAGCAAGACCTTGTGTCTACAAAAAAAATTTAAAAATTAGTTGGGCTTGGTGGCACATGCCTGTAGCCCCTAGCTACTTACTCAGTAGGCTGAGGCGGGAGGATCACTTGAGCCCAAGAGTTCAAGGCTGCAATAAGGGGTGATCATGCCACTGTACTTCAGTCTGGGTGACAGAGTGAGACCCTGCCTCAAAAAAAAAAAAAAAAAAAAAAAAAAACTTTCCAAACAGCTTGTTTGTTCAAATGCATTTTGACATCAACCACAGTGAAGGGCAGGATTTGGGAGACAGTTGTAGAATATACATCTCCAGAATTACTGGCTTCCATCTTCTGGCCAATTCATCTTTGAAAGTTGAGTCCAGGGTAGAGTAAGTGAAACAGGAAGCGTAAAAAGTGATAAAGAGAATTGGAGGAAGAAAACTAATTTTCCTTGAGCACCTATTGTTTGCCAGGCACTGTACATAGCCCATTAATTACATTATTGAAAGGGATAAAGAAGGATCTTCCTGGTTTCTCAAGTTTTTGGAGTTTACCTTACAATATGAAAATAGATGGTTGGAAATTTATGAGCTGGAGTCCACTTTTACTTCAGCTTTAGGCATCATCTATATCTGAGACCAGACATGCACATCTCAAAGACAGGAACTGTGTCTTCCTAGACCTTGTATGTAGCCGCTGCAGGGGGACCAAGGCCAAGAGTCTGTTGTATTAAAAGCATTGTTTAGCAGCACCTTCATCCACAAATTGTAATGCTACTACACATCATTTTACTAGTGTAGTTTGTTTTTTTACATTCTCAAAAATTCCTTTGTTTTTCAGAGACAGCGTCTCACTCTGTCACCCAGGCTGGAGTGCAGTGGTGCAATTGCAGGTCACTATAACCTCTAATTCCTGAGCGCAAGCAATTCTCCCACCTCAGCCTCCTGAGTAGCTGAGGCTACAGGTGTGAGACACCATGTCTGGCTAATTTATTTTATTTTATTTTTTTGTAGAGACAGGGTTCTTGCTATGTTGCCCAAGCTGGTCTCCAACTTCTGGGCTCAAGTAATCCTCCCACCTCAACCTCCCAAGTAGGTGGGATCACAGGCATAAAGGTGGTCCAGCTCAAAGATTCCTTTTTTAAAACTATGAAGGAGGTTACACATTTAGTCAGTATTAGACACTGACTTGTCAGTTAATAGTCTAACTAGGATTAGTAGGAGAGGGTAGACCTTTGGAATATGGGACAGAGGTCTGAAAGATGACCTACCAGTGGAATTTAGGGAAAAGAGTCAATGGAAAGAAATGAATTCTGAAAGGAAGAAAGTGAGTTAGTGCCTGGGGAAAAGAGGCTGGATTGATACATAGTATTGGCTAGCTGTCTACATTTGGCTGAAGTAGTATGTGAAACAATTGTATTAAAACACTGAGAAGAAATAAGACCATATCAATTGATATTGTTATAAATTCGATTGGTTGTTCTTTTTAAAATACAATAATCATGCAAATTCAGCTCCTCCCTCAAAAAAGGAGAGCTGTTTCTTGCTTCAATAAGCACTTAGCCTACAGCAAATCTCTCATGAACAATCAGTAAAATCAGCTGAGAGAGATATGAACATAAAGATACGAACATAATTTTTGATTGCTAGAGACCCCCTAAAAGCTAGATTGTCAAGGAGTTGGCAATAGTGAGCCGTGAAACGCTACTTTACTATTGGGATTTTTTTTTATTTTCCCTCTGTAAATACCTTGTTATTAAACAAAAAAAAATTTAAGGGCACTAAAAAAAATAGAAAAAAAGCAAACCACTGAGACGAGGCCCCTTTAATATTTTGCAAGGCTGACATCATCATTCTTAATAAAGCATTTACAGGGGACCCACTGAGCACTGTGACATTCCAGCTTCCCACTCCTACTTCTCACCACGTTCTCTGCTGGACGCCAGCCTCTCTGTGCATAGTTAAACGTCTGTGATGAAGCCCTCTTGGTTTACTGTTAATTAACTTTAAGTCTAGATTCCCTCCACATACAACTTAAAATACAAATTGTACACACTTTGAACATAAAGTCTTTGAACATTCCTCACTAATTGTTTAAATGCTGTGTGGATTTTGTCTCTAGCAGTTGGTTTCACTTTAACCTTTGGACAAATTGAAAACTTTTTTTCAGTAAAACTCCGCTCCTCTTTGTAGTCTTAATTTTGTACCACAGGGACTGTTTAATAAACAGTTTGCAGGTAAAAAGGAAAGACCTGATGACCCAATATTCTCGGTTTTCCCCAATGATTAGACATAGAGATTAGTCAAAAAAAAAAAAAAAAAGAAAAGAAAACAGGATTATGATTGGTTACATATAAATAGGAGCAGTTCCCTGAAGTCGTTAAGGGAGCAATAATAAGAGAAGAGTTGTTGCTAAAATTGATTTTAGGCGGAAGCCAGTTTCATTTCCCTAAAAAATCTTTTGTATATTTATTTAGTAATTGGTCATGAAATAACGCTTTAGACAGGCATTTTAGAAAGCATACCTCCTGTTTAATAAATCTGAGACTTTGATAATTATTAATGCACAAATGCCAGCAGAGAGATGCTTTATTCCCTGTGTCATGGTACAGCTATTAACGATACTCAAAGGAGTGAAAATTACCATTTCGGAAGTGTCCAAAGCAGTAAACTGGTAAACAAGCCTGCAGTTAGGGCTATGGATGATGTGAATCAACAAGGGTGAAAAGATTTGGTTACTCTGTGTATTAGTGTTAATAGGAATAGATTATAGAGGAATATTTGTGATGTGACCTTCTGTGCACTAATTGAAATAGTATTCAGAGTCAGCATTGGCGTAATCAAGTTAAACACGGAATCATAAATCATCATGAAAAGTGCTGTCACAACTTCGCCGTTAATGCCCTGGACTGCTGGGCAGCCTCGAGAAAATATCTGCTATGCCGATCTTTAGGTTAATAGGAACAGAAATGGCATTTAAAGACTATTTGGATCAAATCTGCTCTGAGGTTGAAAGTGTTCCTCCGTTAATTTACTGGTAATTTGAAGTGATGTAGTTAGGGTTAGAAGGAGCACAGCTGAGCCCCTTATAGCAAAACAAAGGGCTGTGGGAGTTTCTTCTAATATTTATTTAATTGCTTTAGGGTACAATGCTAATCAGTTTTAATATACATGTGTAGTTTCCTTTGTTTCTCAGATATAAAACAGTTGGCAAGGTGATCAAATGCATATCGTTAGCTTTATAGCCTGAGGTGATGTATTTGACAATGATAACTTTAGCACCCTCATATTTGACAAACGGAGAAAGCTTTTATTGTGTATACATAGAAATATTTCTGGCAAATTAAACTATAATGTGTCCTGGAGAAAGAATAAGAATCTAACAGCAATATTTTTCTTATGAACATTTCTTATTGATTGAATAGAATCAAACTAACAGGCTTAAGAAAAATCACAGAGGAATTTGTTGAGACATGATATATACTATTGCCAATAAAGTCCCGTGTCTCAATGCAGAGAAAGGTTGTGCTAATTTAATCAGTTACTCATCAGATCCTGTAGACAATAAGATGTATGATGCTAAGAAGTAAAGGGCTTATTTATTATAATCTGCTTCAAATGCTATAAATTAATAGAAATTTCAGCAGGCAACTGATAATAGAACCTTTTCAAAAGTATCATATTTTACTTCTAATCTGAAAGCAGTTCAAGTTTACCCACTTTTGAATATAATCTATTTAAAACTTGGTGGGCAAGTTAGGTGCACTTTTGTGTTTGTTAAACAATCCTAGAAAAATGTCTTCCTAAGTGTTGTTCACTTGAGTAGGAAGGGAATGGAAGAGTTATTCCCTTAAAGTTGAATATTCTTAAGTAACTGTGAAATTTTGAATGAAATTACAGTTTACCTATAGTACACAAATGGATGTTATAGGAAATCTGAGGTCGTTTGGCAGTCTAAATACATTAGAGTTTTCTTCTAAAAGGAAGATTTGTGACTTTTGCAATTCTTCGGGTTATTCAAGTACCGTTTTCAGGATCTAGGAACCGGCAAGCTGCAGAGCCCAGGTAGCCTATCCCGGCCCAAACCCAGGGTACAGAGAAGATAACTGAGGCTCTCAGTGGAGTGATTTGTCTAAATCCCCACAGCCAGCCAAGGTTTGTACTACTTAATAACTAATCAATGTCGATGTCTCTAAAACATTACCCTGAAAATTTTCACTTTAGAGTTTTACATGAAAAGTTTATCATATTTTAGATGACACTTTGCTTTTCTATGTAATATTTTCAAAACTTTTCTACTTTCAACAATATTTAGTGAGAATTTCAGTTGATACCCTCAGTAGCCCATCAATTACTGCCAACTAATATATGCTTTCATACAATTAGTGATTATCAGAAGTGATTTCTACTATGAAAGGATCAAAATGCTGGCTAACAAATTATGTTCACTACTTTTAAGAAACAAGGGTCAACATTTTAGGAAAATTTTTAAATAATGTTAAAAATTTCAATCACTACAGTTAAATGGGGTATTAGTCATGGTACCATTGGCTGATGATATCTGCATTAATTTTTCTAACAATAAAATGAGTTAGTTGTAATACAGTAAAATATCTGTCCTTTGAATAGAAAACTGGATCTACATCAAATAAGCAAGGTGCATAAAAGGAAGGAGCAATCTTTACTCGATGTGGGAAATGTTATCTTCCATCCCTTCTTTACCACCAGATATACAAACATGAATTACACACGGTTGCTAATGCTGTAAACTCACAGTCTAACAAGGACATATCCCTAGAATGGCAGAGTCAGATGCAACCTTAGAAAGCTCATAGTGGGTTAGCCACAGATTTGGAACTTGAAACCATGTCTCCAGATTTCTAATCCGTGGCCCAGGCTTCACCAGAGTGCTCCAAGTGGCCTGTGGAGCAGAGGACAGCCCATCCCACCTCAATCTGAAGCTCCGGAATGACTGGGAACAGGAAAGGAGGGATGCTAGGGATAGTCCCTGTAAATTAAGGACTCTGAGAACCCATACAAGAGCATCAGCACTGGCTGCAGTCAGCCCAATAACACAACCATTCACAATGGAATACCATCCCCTAAACCAGAAGATCTGACAGGAAGCTGCAACAGAAAATCTCCCCCTCATTGGCAACTAGTGACTTGGTGTTTCTCACCATTCAGGGTAGGTGCTATGGTGTAATACCAATTAATATATAAAGCTATCAAATACATGTTTTTAAAGGCATTTTCCTCTCACGTATTGCTATCTGTTGCCTTCTGGAAGCTCCATGTGACTCCTAGTTTGGGGTTTTCTTTCTCATTCATCTTTATAATGACCAAGAATAGTGTCTGGTACACAGTAGGTGCTATATAAATATTTGCTAAATTTATAAAGTTATCCAGGTTTGTTATTTTGCATGTCAACTCTATGATCATAATTTTAAGTCTTTAAGATTCTTAAATGATGGGTTTTTTAGAGGTACAATAGAAGTGTGAATAGAATTGACATCTAAGTGGAGATGTTGTACTTCAGCATAGTAATTCCACATCTGACACTAATTTTAAAATCTTTTCTCCCAAATGCCCGCTCACCACCTTGGCTTTATAGGCCAAACTGCCATCCGTGAGCAAAGCTGCGTGTCTCCTCCACTTGAAGAGCCCCATGAGCATGCTATAGTCAGTGGGAGTTCAAGACAGAAAAAATATACACTGCTTTGCACACAGCCTGAAAATCAAGGCATAAAAGAGGGAAAATAAATCAATGAGCCCCATTTGGCCTTTGCATGCATAATTCATCAGTAGAAATAAGTATCTAAAATGTTTTACCCATAAGTGTAGGATAAGTTACTTCATTTTTAAATATCTAAATCATAGTTATATCCCAGATAATTCTAATATTGATAATTTGAACTATATAAGCTAGATAGTTAAGCTATATAAATATCAACTTGTTGATTTTTAAGGGTGTATTTATATTTATGTCTTAAAAATGTACTTCATCCCAGTTTAAAGATGGGCTATAAAACTGAAAATAATGCAGGGCAGTTTGATCCCTTTACAAATAGTTGAAAGATAATCAAACATCAGTACCTGAGATTGTAAGTGGAATTAACATTTATTGAGCTACTACAATGTTTTGATCACTATAGGAGATATTTTCATATTATCTCTATAGTAATTCACATTATCTCAATTAATTTTCCCACCCCTAGCCTCATGAGATGGGGGCTATTATCTCCATTTTCAGGTGAAGGCACCAAGGTCCAGAGAGATTAACTCACCCATAATCACAGATATTAAACTGCAGATTCAAGACTTGACCCCAGGTTTCTTTGATCTAAAGCCAATCTCCTTTTACTACCCCCATGCTGCTTCTCTAATTGACTCAGCAATTGTACATAAAACCGTATTCTTCAAAAAAGATGTGTATCTATATATTTATTTATAGATAGATATATACACGTGTACTATTGGATTGGTGGGTAAATGGGCAGCAAAATTGCAAGGCCCAAATGTGGGCCCTACTAATTACTTATTCCCTCTTTGCCCAGCAAGTGCAGCCCCATCAACCCCTGGAGAACATTTGCTACTTTAGAATTATTTCCTCCAGCAGGAAGGAAGGGCTTTTGACTTTGGGAGGGGTATGAGATGGTAGGTAGGGTGAGATGGGCTGAAGGGAGATTTGTTGTCTGGATACTTTTGTCTATCTGAGATTTTCTATTGCAATCACAACCCAGAGTACTATATACAGCCAGAGAACCTGCATGGTATTAAAGAAAAAGGAAAAAAGAATAGGAGCAATACGTACAGATGGGACAAATATAAGACAGAGTGCTGGGGATTTTTCCTCCCAAAATAAGAAGTATCACCTTCCATTGCTATGAATCCTAAAAAACATATTTCACGGTATTTCTGTCTTTGTAAAGTCAACCTCACAGGAATGCCTCCCCTGGATTAGTAGAGGAGGAATGGAGAAGAGTGTACTTCACTCACCATCATCTTGAGCTGGGACTTCCAGACACAGGCCATCCTCCACGTTGTTTCCACAGAAGAGTCAACCTAGCTGAGCCTTATCACCCTCCATCCTATAATAAAAGGTAAAAATTAAATTAACACATTCATGTAAATGAATCTTCAATCACAGAAAGTCAGGTACAATGTTAGATGTGTTTTATAAACCATTGTTTTAAAGATTTGAATATATCCCCCTACAGACAAAAATGCTATTATGAAAGTGACCCTAATTCCACTTCATCCTGTGTTCTTTGAAGAACTCTATATCCAAACCATAGCTGACATTTAATATATTAAGTGAACATCAGCTGCAAAGTTACTATGGCTATGAATGCCATACACAATTGCATTAAAAGCCAAAACATCATATTTAAAGTATTACACACTTAATATAGACAAGTATTATCACTATAGCTCATTTTTTAATCCTCATAAATTTGGAAATTCAATTATTCAACTCATGAAACACACTTATATCAACAGTGTCAGCCTCACAATGTTTTCCTTGGTCTATTTTCCCAAGATACTGTGTCTCTATACTCACATTATAAGCCTGCGACGTCGGAACATGAAAGAGCCTGATGAATGTTTTAATATCAAATTTTGAAATGATTATGCTTATTTTTTTTGAGATGTTTTCCTACACTAAGTCATTAAAGATTTTCCAATGAAATGTTTATTTCTAAAACTCCAAGCATACTTATTTTATCTGAGAGGCAAAAATACGTTTTAAATACAAATTAATAAATTCTATCCCACATATAATCACGCTTGGCAATGAACAAAGTGCTTGTAAGAGAAAGATAAATTGAATTTAACATTATAACTCTTTTAATAAAAATATACAGATTCAAAACCTCTTCAGTGACCCTGTCTTCTACAGTATAATTCCCTAAAACTTCTAAGTCACTCAATGATAAGAGGCTGATCTAAACGCTTCCACTGCATTAATCAAATACCAGGTCTAATTAAAAGAGCCATGCACAAAGCTTTTTCAAAATGTTGCTCAGGTATTGCAATAATTTCTGATCACCCAAGCCTGGAAGACAAATAATTAGAGCTGCCAGAGCATTCTGATGAGTGATGTCAGCATCTCCAAGTGACCTTCCCTCCACTAATTAATTTTCATCTTAAGAAAAGAGACCCTGTTGTTGCACATTATTAATTGAGTTCACTAAAAGATGCGCCTGATTAATTTTTGTTGATAATACTTGTCATTCTAGGCAGCGGCTGTAATCATTCTATTGGGTTTTATTTTTTTTAAGTTGATCTAAGTCCTTTGCAATGTGACTGATATATCTGATACAAAATATCATGCATAAGGGCATATCCTATAATGTGTCTGGGCTATTTTTCATTGCAGTTGTTTGCCGAGGTAAAATGAAATGTCAGAGTGGAGTTTTCTGAGCTGTTGGAAACTGCTAAGGTATCATTTCACTTTGCCCTTGTAGCTGAGTGAGGTCACTTATTCCCAAGTCCCCAAAACAGATCACTGCACCCATTTTGTAGCCTGCTTTTGAGTTTTATGGTGAATCATCCCATCCCCAGAGAAAACACTGCATTTGTCTTATAAGAGTTCTTCATCACATCTCTGTGATTACCAAAAGACTTCCTACAACTTCCTTTGTCCTAAGAGTGGGATAGCTTGCTAAGTAATTTTAGCCTTTTGACCCTGTGTGGGAGGCAGAATGTAAGCCCAGAGCTTGGCTTGTTGCCCTGTTCATTCATAGAATATTAGGATTAGAAAAAATAAAGAGAGGGCTATATTAAAGTATTTATTTCATTAATCTAAAATTAAATAGGAAATTTAGTCATACTCCTAATGAATGTAAGTTGTACTCCGATACAGAAACATTCACATGCCATTGCATTTCAAGACCTTTATTAAAACCATAGTTTGTTTTCAGTGGAAACTTCTAAATGTAGAATTAATTTCTTGGGAAAATATTGTGTTTCAGTTTATAAGTGCAAATATGTTATTTGTGCTGGGAAAATGAACTCACAAGGCTTCTTAGATTTTAAAGTGGTCCTGCCAGGTGGATTTTGTCTAAATGAACAAAAGATATAATTTCATGGATACATGTGCTTAACAGTTAGGAAAAACGTGCTTAATGTAATGCCTTTTGTTTTGCTGAACCTGAAACCTTTGTAAAATGTCTTGAGTCTTTAGTCTGAAACAGGCAAAGTTAGATCCTATTACGTGTGCTGTATGCTATTGGCTTAGAAGTTTAAAAGAATTCATAAACATAGTATAGTATAGAAGGAAAACTAACAAAACTATCTCTTAAGTCTTTTTTGAGGCAGCCTTTCCCTCTTCCATTGAGAGCTTTTTTTCCTTGTTCTATTTCCCACTGGGTGAATGCAGGGTAGCCCTAAACCATCCTAGATCTAAAATTTGATAAGATTGTGCTATCATGCGACCAAATTCACACCTCCCTGTGAGTGATCTTCCATGAAAGGAAAGGTGACGCCAGTTCTCTAATAGTAGAGTTCATTATCATCAATCAATACTATTATTAAATTTCCACCAGGAATTAGGCACTTTATATATCTTCCTGAAATTTGGATGAGCTAAAGCTAACATTTCATCCCATGTGACTCCTGAGGAAACAGGTTTGAAAATGAAGGTTTGTGGGTAAAGGTAATACTCATGAGTTAAACGATGTATTCATAATCCAAAAAGAGCAGCATGTAAGGACACCAAACCTAATATTTTGAGATGTTTTACTGTCACAGTATTTTAGAACTGAAGAGAACTTTGGACATCACCTGTCCAACCTTAACATTTCACATATAAACTGATTCCCAGAAGACTTGATTAATTACATAACAAAAGACTTAATCCTTTGTTATGCAAAGAAAATATAGAAAGAACATTGATAAACACTAACGTGTATTTAGTTCAAACATCTTTATTTAGAATCATGAAAATACATATTTTTCTCTTGAGACTTTTTTTTAGCAGTTTTTGAGAGCATTGTTTAGATATCTTTTGTGTGCATCACCAAGGGTGAATTTATCAGTACTGATGTCTTTTTTTTTTTAAACACTAAAATGCTAAGGGACCATACCTGTTTATTCTGCCCTACCTATTCAGATTATTGCCTTTTTCAGTTACAAGGATAATAGAAGAGCAAAGGGGAGGGAGGTGGAAGGAAAGAAAAAGAGGCGAGGAAAAGGAAGGAAAGAGAAGCGAGGGAGAGAGGCCTAATTTGGTTCCACCTCTTTTGATTTTTTTCCCCTCATTATGTTTTCAAATTTTAACATGCAAGCCTAAGAAAGGTTGCCTCCATCAGACAATCTCTGAGCAAGTGTAGTTTATTTCCTTCAAGAAATTGATCTTAAATATTAAATAGGGGATAATAAAATTGAGGTTTTATGTTATAAAATTGCTCATAAATTCACTTTGTGTAACTTCTGCAAGTAGAGTGTTACTGCACTTAGTAACAAAACTTAAGATGTGATAGTTTATTTCCAAAGCAACACAAATGACGCATATCAGAATATGACTTATCAGTAGGAAAAAAATGAAGTCTTTATGTTTTTAATTTAAAGAAAACAATGATCTTGAGAGAACAACATTCTAGACTTGAAAGAAAGACAAATAGGGTCAGGATATCTTCCTGGGCAATGAAGAGGAGGATAGAGTGGAATATCAGGTATTGCTCTGAATCCAGGTCATTATTGCAGAAAGAACATTGAGACTCAGGAGGGGCCATTCTTTTGGGTGATGTGATTTAAATCAATATGGAGAGATTATCTCTGGCTAATTTATCTGACATTAGTCTTCTAATCAGATTTCACCCATAGTCTGTCAGCATTTCTTTCAGAAATAATCATCAATATTTTACTCCAATGCATAATCATTTTACTTTCTTTTGTGGCTCTTTTCCTATTTTAACAACATTGCATTTTAGTAATTGTATTTAACCAAACCAGAAATTAAAGAAAAGGGGGCTTTCTAGATGTGGATTCTGACTTTTAGCTATATCATCCCTCTTGAGAGCCAGTGGAGCCTTCCATTTTGTATAAAGAACACTCATGTAGGGTAGGTGTCATTGAACAATATGTGGCCCTAGGATGTACATCTTTCCCAGCTAATTCACTTCAGTTTTCATCACAATTTACATTGAGCTGTCCTCATTCCAATCAATGTTTTCTCAATGAGCGAATCAATTTAATCCATAGCCACATATGTATGGACATGGCATTTTCATATACTTAAAGGCATTCACCTCCCTGTTACAATGTAAAGGTTGTGGTAGCCACAGGGCTCAGAGAATTGTGCATAAGATCTGGGGTTAGATCAATTACGGGAGGCAGTTTGGTGGGGGAAAAATACACTCTGTGGGACTTGGAGTCAATCCTTGTTGGTTGGAATCTTAAGTCACCTAAAGCCTCTGAGACTCAATTTATATATAAAATGTAAATATATTTTACTTTCTCCTCATGGGGTTGAGAAATAAAATGTGAAAGTATCAGACCCAGCACCTGACATATTGCAAAAGTTCAATAAATATTATTTTATACAGTCTCGATTGATTAGCCCACTTCATTCATGCGGAGAGTCTGCTTTGCAACTCCTCAACTTTCCAAACTTTGTTCTTCACACTGCTTTCCCCTTGCAAGCAAAGAAAACTTGGAGAAACAATGCATTCTCCAGAGCCAGAGCTGAGCCCAATCAAGTGGGCTTACTGGTCAACCTAGGAAGCGTGGCTTCTGAGACTGGTCATGGTTGCAAGATGGCAGAGGAATCACAGAGCTGTAAGGCAAAGTCTGAATCCTCACTCATTGTTAAACTTGTTAGAGAGTTTGAAATTATATATCATAAAATAGCTCGTTCAGCAGGTATTAGAAGGACTGCTTAGAGGTTTTGAGATGAGAATGAAGTAGGAAAACGACAGCCATTGGTAGTGAAACTTAAAGTAACAACTTGACTGTTTTTCAAGCTGATTTAGAAAAAAGCGTTTTAACGTTTAAAAGGCTGGCAAGCATTATGATCTATGATACTTTCACTTCTTAAATGGAGTTTCACAGACCTTACTAATTTTTGACAAATCTCACATCATTTAATTTTTTAAGAGGTGTGTTTGACCCAAGGTTTTTGAAATACCTTTATATCTGACCTAAAAGGCACCTTCAGCCTAGCCTCTTTTAAAGATAATTTTGACAGAAAGCTAGCTATGGCTAGTAGCCACACCACCATAAGTTTTGACCTTGAGTGAGCTCCAATTTCTAGTAGTATTTGAATAAGTGACTTTTAGGTGAAAGTAAGAGGTCAGAAGATAAAGTATCGAAGTTATCAGGATTGATTTTTATTATTTCTCTCTCATTAATTGCCTCTGCAGTACCCCTTCCCCTCTGATTTAATATCTTCTGAAAATTCCCTTCATTTGTAGGTCATTAACAATAATTTTAATGTAGATCATGTCCTACAGAACAAATTCCAAAGACTTGTCTGAAGCAAAGAGATAGAGTGGAAAGAGCTTTAAGCCTAGAGTAAGAATGCCTGCTTTCCATCCTGATCCTGCTACTAACTAGTTACATAAGCTATCTTTACCTTAGACAAAATAGTGATAATCAGCTCTCCAACCTCACAGAGTCTTTGCATGGTTTAAATAAGTTTTTGCCTGTGAAAGCATATAGAAAGCTGTAAAGTATTGCACACATAAATCATTACACTAATTAAATTATGTATTTGATTTATGGTCTTGAAAATTTGAGGATCAAATAGTGTTTCAATAAATGACTCTTGGAAATAATTTAATTTTAAATGTACACTGAAATAAAAATATTTGCCTTCATGGAATTTGGGCTATAAAATTCAAGGTTGTGGCTCCTAAAATAATTACATTCTATAAAGCAAACCTTGTGTTGCTTTAAGAGCCTTCTAAGGGGTCATGCTGCTTCTATCCTTGTCCACTTAGAGTATTTTTTTTAACAGTTGCCAGAATGATCCTTTTAACCAAGTTAAATCATTTCTCTCCTCTATTCAAAACTATCCAATGACTCTTCTAACACTCAGTATAATAGCTAAAGTGCTTACAATGGCCAAAAAAGACTTAACACAGTTGGGTCCCCTGTTAATTCTGACTTCATCTACTACTGAGCTCCCCAGATCCATATTCCCTTCTTAGGACCTGCATGCTGTCTGTTCCCTCTTCCTGGAACACATTTCTCCCTGATACGGTCAACTCACTTATGACATTTAAGTCTTTGTTCAAATGTTATCTTCCTAATTAGACCTATACCTTAAATTGCACTCCTCAACACACCCAATAAACTTACCCTGCTCCGCTTTTTTTTTTTTTTTTACAGCACATATCACCTTCTAACATATTATACAATTTACATTTTTATTATGCTTATTATTTGCCTCCACCCACTGTAATATAAATTTCAGCAGGGAAAGGATTTCATCTGTTTTGTTCACTGATATCTCCAAGGCTTTCAAACAATGCCTGGACTATACAGTAAGTGTTCAAAATGTATTTATTGAAAGAATGGGTGATATAATGATGATACCACATACAGCTTTGTCAGTAGGTGTGCTGACTTCCCCGGCCCATTATTGTAATCAGCTGTAACCATTTATGGGCTATGTGCATCCAGGAAAAGGTGAGAAATGTGGCTATAAAGAGAATGAAACCATCTAGTTCTTCTGGACACAGTATCCCTGACCTTGGCATCTCTTTGTACATTTTTTAACCAATGTTGTTAACAGGATTTTCTTTCTCCTAGGTCTACAGAACATGACAACATTAATCTCTTAGTAAATTTGCATAAAATTTGCAAATGTAATTTCATGATCTGTAAAACCAAAATCAAAGTATAATATACCAATTTCACTGACTTAATCTTCCAGAATTCTATCAAGAAAGTAATCAGATTTTTCTTCGTTATTTATTCTTTATTCAATATGGCTCATCCTGCAATTCTTTACAGGCTGATTAGTAAATTCCCCTTTTTAACATTTATTTCTAAGTTTTATTTGAGGTTAAACTAATTATATCTAGTATTTATAATTACCTGAATCTTACATCTTTTAATCCATAAGATATAGCTTGAAATTTACCTTTAGCAATCTAAAGTTTCATTCTGGTTTTAAAACCCAATCAGTAGTGGGTCAATAATTTTGCCACTTGGGCATCATATACATATGGGCAGGTTAGTGCTTATAATTTGGCTGTGTCATACCTTATTAATACTACCATTTCACTAATACTATAATTTTATTAATACTATAACTTTGGTGGTGGCAACTATGGTTTTGGTTTACAGTTCCTAGCTATTAGTCATCCTTTTTAATTTGCAGTTATATACCAAAATTCTGCTTCTGTTTCCAAATTTCCAAGAAGCAGCCGAGGTATTCAGTCTGAGCAAGTCATCATATATAATGGTGGGAATGAAGAAAAAGAACCAAAGATGGTCTTATCGACAAGGGCATAGTTCTTAAAATGGCTTCCATACATTGTCTCCATACTACTAGCAATGTTGCACCTCTGAAAAACACAAGCGTATGAAATCCATTTGTATGGCCATTGCACTGTGAAAGCTAGATTTTTTGTTTTAATTCAGTCATTCAGTAAATGATATTTAAATACCTTGGCAGGTTTTTCTTTTTCCTTTGTTTTTTAACTGAGGAACATGAATGCCTAAGGGTTACTAAACACATTTTCTAAGGATTTTCAGTTTTCCTGCTTCCGATCTACAGCCTGAAATTCCTCCCATTCCTCCTTTGTCTTCACTAACCAACTCACCTCAGATGTAATGCCTCTCTGTTTTTTAGGAGAACTGAAATATTTATCAGAATTGAAACAAAAGGTAAATCTAAATCTGTCTCACTGGATAGCAAGTATATGTCACACATGAAGAAAACTGAAGTGTTAAACCTCCTTGGTCTGTTTGCATAACAAGACTTTAAAGACATTTTTCTAACCACACAGGTTCATGGTGCTTCTTTTATTTCTCCATATAACCTGGTTTGTCTTCTAAAGCTTGAAACATGATTATACAACATTATTTCATAAATTTGTTTCCTAAAAGTTCTCTATTCCCCCCATTAGTCTTTAAAAGTTTTATTATTTTCTTCCTTACCAGAATATATTTCTCTAGAAACATTATACAGATATTATCCAGGTGTGCTAACTCCAGGGTTTTGGCTATTGTCCAACTTGAACAATTAGTTAAAATTCTCTTTTAGTTTTAACCAGATGTTGTAGTCCTCATTTCCTGACCTAAAAGCCTCTTTCAAATTATGGAAAACTTTTAAATACTTGTCCCATTCTCTTTCTGAATTAGCTGCACCTTCATGCTAACTTAATATGGTCTGATATTCAGTATGTACATATAATTAGTGAGGTTTATACAACATTTGGAAGAAATCAAACCCAAAAATACTTGGAATATGAGAGGCCAAGCATTAATTAACAAAGATTTACACAGTGTGTATTGAGTGACTTAAAAGCTCCTTTTGCTGTGGCTTTTTAGTTGAGATATTAATTACTGAAGAGATCAGTGCATTAATTTTAGAGAATTTTCTAAATTTTGCATAGTTTCTTTTATTTAATTTGACTGTAATCTTTCTGAAGTTATGCCTTTTATCCATTTTACATTTTATTCAGGACCTAGTCAATGCTGTTTACATTGTTAAGTCCCCAAAATATATTTATTCACTTGTAATATGACATGCGGCTATATATTTTTATATTTGAAGAATTTTGAAAAGCTACCAACAAAGTCAAATTACTTTTTATCCCTGACAAACAACATGAGTCCTCCATGAGCAAAACCATTTAATCTATTTTTTTTCTCTGAGCCGTTCATTTCCTATAGTAAATTCCTCATACACTTTCAGGAAGTGAAATGAAAGCAACTGTCCTCACCCCTCCAAGATTACTGAACATAAACCAAAAAAAGTTTAACTGCTGTAGCCCCAGACAGTTGATGGGCAAAGGCAGCCCCCTTTCAATTCTCATCAGCTAGGAACAAAGGTGGTGGGTTCCTGAGTGAAGGGAGGAAAAGAGTGGAGTGAAAGAAACATTTTAGAAGTCCAATCAACTGATTAGGAGAAAATCCTCAAGATGTGTGATGTGTGCAACAGACTTCTAAGAGAAAATACTGGCCTGGAGCTATACTTAACTTTCCCCATTCCATACCTCAAGCAAGTATTAAAACCAAACACTTAGGTCTTCTGGATACGGCATGTGGGTTAGTGTTGTTCTGTGTTTTGATAAAAGTGAGTTCAATATTTCTTTATTAATTTTAATAGTATAACAAGAACGGCATATTATTTTGACATAAGGAGTTCAAAGTTACTATGCCAGCACTCTTCCATTAATCTTTAAAATATATTTGCTGGGTGAGCAGCCAACATAATCCTGGCTAAACAGATAAGAAAATAGAGAGCTGGCGATAAGATGACTTGTTTAAAGCTGCACAACAAATCAAGACTGAAGCCGGCGCTCCGGTCCTCGCCCGCTCCGTGAGCACCTCTGCTGGCACAGGCTCACACTGGCAGCAAGAAGCGGGTGCTTCCAAGTTGGGAATCACTTGATAAAAGGGCCTCATTCTGATAACTTCTGGAAAGTTCAGATGAGAATTCCACAAGTGGTGAAAATATATATTTTCTGTCACATCAGTATTTTGAGCTGTGTTCCTCCCTTGCATAGCATCAGCTTTTAATTATTTAGACAATAATTATCCATTTGTGGCTTATCAATTCCCCTTCCTTCTCTCCTGCTTCCTGTCTCTGGGCCATTTCACTGCTCATTAATATTTGCATCAGAGGCCAGATCAGCTTGGCTGGTGAGTCTGGTAAAAAGATTTGGTGGGCAAAGAGACAGAAACCATTGAATATGTAAAGGTTAGTGATTATCTTGAGGTTGAATCTATCCATAGATTAGAGTGGAACTCAACAACAAATGATTGTGTCGTGAGTTTGTCAGGGAAGGGTCCACTCCTTTTTGCTTTTTCCTCTGCATATCTATTTTTCTCTAATTCTGTACTTGATGCTTATTATTACAGATCATTGAAATTTGACACAAGATGCAATCATCCGCCTGAAGGATTTTGACAACACTCACGTTTTTAAACTCCACATTCCCTATCCCTAGGAAAGAAACCTCAATAAATACATCTTGCATTTATTAAGGAATAAGTGAAAGGTGCACTTTTTCTGAATTATTTGTGGGTTGGTAGATAAAATACAGCAATCAGCGTCCTGCCACCCACCCCCACCCCTCAAGGATTCTCCCTGGTTAAAAAGCTGGTGCTGGTGGATTAGTCGGAAGTTGTGATTGCCTCATGAATCAGGGTGAAGCTTCTCACAGGTGGCAGTTAGTTTGATCTTCCTAGTCATTCAAGGAGGATATATATCTTTTGTGGTTGTCACTCACAAGGATATCCTTGAAGGAAAACGAGGCTGCCTCACCAAAGCACAACTAAATGAAACAAACGAAAAGGAACAGTGACAATGTAAGGGAGCAACAGAGGATTATTTCAGAATCTACGCAAATAAAATTCTGTGTGTTGGTGAAGTCTCTCTGCTGCCACTCAAAGCCCTATTCCTAGATCTGTGCTGACCACATCAAAACAATGCTGCTGCATAAGCAAGGGAATAAACAAAGCAAAGACCCATTAGCTGTTTCCATTAGACATGCAGAGGGGGAAAAAAATCAATAACAGGCAAACAGAAGATAAAATTGATAGGAAAGAAACGTTAATTTTAGAGCTTTAAAATGAGGTCTTGCAAACAATATCATGCAATAAAACCTTAAAAACTATTTTTAAAACTTTTGAAATCATTTACGTGGGGAAAAGAATGCTAGCAGGAACATATATGGCATATTAAAGTTTAGTGCATTCTTAATGACTCGTCTTAAACAAATTATGCATGAGATAGATTACACATCCCTCATCCACTTAACAAAAAGGCATACACATGAACAAAAAACAAAACCAGGTGGCTTTTAAAGAGAAATTAAGTGTATACTTGGTGACTGATGGGGAGAAATGCCAAATGATGTAAAAGACCTCATAGAATAGAGTTCTCTTGAAAGAACCTAGATTGATGGGCTCTTCGGCCACAGACTGTAGGCAGAGCAGTACAAATGACATCAGTCTCCACTTTCAGATTCCATCCTGTAAATACCCTCAGCAGACAGGCTAGGGGAGTAGAGAGAACAAGGACTCTGGAGTAACAAGTCCTAGATTTCAGTGCCAGCCTCACTGCCCACTAACTGTCCAATGGTGGACAGTTACTTCACCTGCCCTTCATTTCCTCATTCGTAAGATAGAGATAATAATAATGCTGTTTTACCCTCCTAAGTTGGACGGGCTTTTTTCTTTTTCGGAAAAAGAGACAGGGTCTCACCATGTTGCCCAGGCTGGTCTCGAACTCCTGGGCTCCAGCAATCCTCTTGTCTGGGCCTCCCAAAGTGCTACGATTACAGAAATGAGTCACCACGTTTGGACTTGGTATTTTTTTCAAAGACCCAGCTCATTAGGCCTGGTCCAGAACCACTAGTTTCAAAGCGTTGGTTCTCAAACTTAAGGAGGTATCTGAATCACCTGGAAGGGTTTGTTAAAACAGGGACTGCTGTGCTTTGCCCTCAGAATTTATGATTTATTAGGTCTGGGATGAGGCATGAGAATTTACACCATGGTAGTTTTGATACTGCTTTCCAGGACCACCCTTTGAGAGCTTCTGGTTAAGTCTTGGGATTTTAGCATGGTCTATGGGATTTTCACATGCTAAAATCAGCAGGGTCAGGATCACCCAGGATCCGGTTAGTCACTCAGACCCAACAGACCTTGTTAGAAATGCCAACCTATTTTGCTCAACCAGAGGCAGCATTTAACAAGATCTCCAGGTGCTTTGTATGCACATTCCATTTTGAGCAGCACTGGTCTAGAGCATCTTCAGGGGACATGGAGCCAAAAAAAGATTGTGAAAAATCTGCTCTAGGGTGGTTGTAAGAAAAGCCCTTCAATCTGAATGACAAAAATCCTGGTCCTTGGCGTTGGCATTCTCCCCAGGAAGTCCTGTTTGTGGACCCAACAATATACACCAATTGGAAACAGTTCTTCTCCTCAGGCAAGGGGCTTACAGCTACTGCAGCAGGTGCCAGATTGCTAAGTGCCCACGTGGGTAGTGAGGGCCAGGTTGAACAGTATCTTTTTGCTGTTCATATGAATTTTGTTTCCTTAGATGATGATCTTTTCAGTACTTCCTTGTATTTTCTTCCTATTTTTCCTTGTAGAATTTCCTTGTGTTTCCTGTTTATATGTTTCATATATCATTATGGACTTAATGATATTAATTTTGGTCAGAAGCAAAGTAAGCCAAAAATGCCAAGTGTATTTGGCACATCCAGGAGTTCCTAATGGCTAAAGAGTCACTGGGTTAAGCGTCAATGTTCTAATATCAACGTAACATTACAACAACGCCTTCATTCAAACAAGGCTCCTATTACTTGGAATACAAATTGGAGCACCAGCTTCACATTTGTAAGATTTATATGCCCATTTAGGGAAATCCTCTTGTAGCTCCTCTAATAACATCACTGGCAATACAAAGCTGAATGGTTCAAATCAGATTTCATCTCTACTATTTTAGTGTTGGAGGATGAACCTACAGACTATTAAATTTATAAAAAACAAAGATAAATATACAACATAAAATATTTCAAGTTCCAAAATCCTTACATTAGCTTTTGGAAAAGGACAGCTCCAAAGAAAAAAAAAGCAGTGAAGATTAAATCTTTTAAGATTCAATTTGTCCAGCCTGCCATGTAAGGCCTAACCTTGCTGGAGACTCAGAATTATGGCTTTATTTTAGTCCACAACTAAGCCAGACAGCAGATACCACTTCAATGATGTTTTACAGTAGAATCAATTAGAAAATATTCTGATTTTCAGAACTATCCCCCAAAAGTGATATTACTAAGGTAGCTATCATGCCAATAATGTCTATATCACATTAACAATGTAAACATATGAATGTTCCCTTTTTATTTTCATATCTGTGATTTTTTTAAAGGAATGGCTAAAAATATTAAGTAAACTATTAGAACCTAAAAAATGTCTTAGGACTAAATTATTTTTTCAGCCTAACAATCTTCTTACCATCAAAAAAAAAAAAAAAAAGACATTATCTTTCTCAAACAAATAAATCAGAACTCTAAGCACTATCTCCCTCACAGGAGACATGGCTTCTGCTTCCAAAATCCCTGCCTTTCTAATCAAATATTTCTCTCTAGGTCTTTCCTTTTTCTTGATGCTAGTTTGCCGCTATAAATAAGATTCCTCCCAACTTTATGGAAATTAAAGAATTCATGTTTTTCATTGCAAGTGTTAGAAATCTTCCTGTTATCAACACTTCTCAAAAGACATTTATGCAGCCAACAGCCACATGAAAAAATGCTCATCATCACTGGCCATCAGCGAAATGCAAATCAAAACCACAATGAGATACCATCTCACACCAGTTAGAATGGTGATCATTAAAAAGTCAGGAAGAAACAGGTGCTGGAGAGGATGTGGAGAAATAGGAACACTTTTACACTGTTGGTGGGACTGTAAACTAGTTCAACCATTGTGGAAGACAGTGTGGTGATTCCTCAAGGATCTAGAACTAGAAATACCATTTGACCCAGCCATCCCATTACTGGGTATATACCCAAAGGATTATAAATCATGCTGCTACAAACACACATGCACACGTATGTTTATTGCGGCACTATTCACAAGAGCAAAGACTTGGAACCAACCCAAATGTCCATCAATGATAGACTGGATTAAGAAAATGTGGCACATATACACCATGGAATACTATGCAGCCATAAAAAAGGATGAGTTCATGTCCTTTGCAGGGACATGGATGAAGCTGGAAACCATCATTCTCAGCAAACTATCGCAAGGACAGAAAACCAAACACCGCATGTTCTCACTCACAGGTGGGAACTGAACAATGAGAACACTTGGACACAGGGTGGGGAACATCACACAACAGGTCCTGTCGTGGGTTGGGGGGAGGGGAGAGGGATAGCATTAGGAGATATACCTAATGTAAATGACGAGTTAATGGGTGCAGCACACCAACAGGGCACATGTACACATATGTAACAAACCTGCACGTTGTGCACATGTACCCTAGAACTTAAAGTATAATAATAAAAAAAAAGAAAAATCTTCCTGTTATCTATTTTCAGGCAATGGGCTTTAACAACAAATCACATTGCATAATTCAACTACTGTGGAAAGAAGTCTGATGGCTCTAATTGAGCTAAGTGTAGAACTTAAAGCAGCTCACTTATCCTATTTGGGTTCAATATATTTATCCCATAAATGACCCATCCCTGCATCAAGGAATGATTTATTTAGAGATACCACATACATTTGAAATATTCCATTTATGCATTACACTAAGCCTTTAGGAGTATTACCCATTGTTGAATAAGTGTTGATCTAACAAAATCTCCTAAGTCACAATTTGTTTAAAATACAGGATAGATCTCGAATACCTATTCTCAGACATCAGGAGACACTGGAAATACAGAACTGAAACTACATCTCACCTAGATGTTAACCCCTTGAGGGCAGGAACTAGACTTGCTTGCCATCAGTCACCTGCAAAGGGCCCTGCATGTAGCGGACACTCTGCTTGTTGAGTGGATGTATAAAAGAACTTCCCCAGAGGTAACCAATTTGATATACAAAGAGAGAGGCTGCTTTCTGCTGTGTTGAACAATGAACACTGGCTGAGACACTTGTCCAAACAAAAAGAGGCTTTGAGTTACGGAATAGCCTCTGTTAACCCATACTAGGATGTTAAGCTCCTTTTGAAAGCAGGTTCCTTTGTAAACAGCCCCCTGAGCCTAGTCCAGAGCTTGGCACATAGCAGTTGTTTGTTAAATTGAATTGAGCTGACTCAGTAAAAGCCATTTAGTGTCAACAAAAATAAATGTATTAATGCATTGCTCCAACCTGTTTTAAAAACTGCTTTCAAATTACACATTATTTTTTAATCAGGTAATACATGCACATGATACAAAATTCAAAATGTATAAATGGGAATATAGTTGTATTAGTCCATTCTCACACTGCTATAAAAATACTACCCAAAGACGGGGTAATTTATAAAGGAAAGTGGTTTAATTGACTCAGTTCAGCATGGTTGGGAAGGCCTCAGGAAACTTACGATTATGGCAGAAGACACAGGGGAAAGCAAACACATCCTTCTTCACAAGGCTGCAGAAAGGCGAATGAATGCAGTGGAAACTACCACGCATTTATAAAACCATCAGATCTCGTGAGAACTCACTCACTAACACAAGAGCAGCATGGGGGAACTGCCCCCATGATTCAATTACCTCCACCCGGTCTCTCCCTTAACACGTGGGGATCATAGGGATTATAATTCAAGATGAGATTTTAGGTGAGGACTCAGCCAAACCGTATCAATAGTGAAGAGGAAGTCTCCAGTACTCTCAATCCCAGGTATCCAGAACTCATGCTAAGAGAAAAAACCTGGAAACACCGTTTTCTAAAGAAAGTGTGTTTTGTCGTTGTTGTTGTTACTGTTGTTGTTTTAAGCAGCATGGAAAACTAACCCTTTTTCTTTCAGCACTTTTATCCTCAACTTTTTCTTAGTCTATTTAGATCTGTAAAATAATTTCTCTTGTAAGACAAATAAAATTCATTATGCAAACAGAAATCTGCAAACAATAAGACAGGCAATAGCAAGTCTAAAAGCCATCCACCTGAGACCAAATGAGCCTACTGTGATTTCTCCTCTAAGATCCACAAGAATCACACTGCTATCAGTATCATTGCGGCTAGCTGTTACCTCTAACAATCATATACCAATTAGCCGTGATATAAATTTGCATTGGAAGTTTTCCATGTTTCCAAGGTTATTTCTCAGAGAAAGCATTCAGATATCAAGGACCTCTCTTAAGCAGTGGTTTAAGGACCTTTTCTTAAGCAGTGGTTTAAAAAAATTGTGAGTGGTTTGCTGCATTTTTCTATTCTAGTAGGTAGAGATAAACAACTCAGACTAAGAATAAAGATTGAGGATTAAGATCAACAACAGACATTTATATTGACAGCATTTCCTGATCCTTCAAATCGGCTGCTCCTGTTTTCTGTTTGTTTGTTTTGCTTTGTTTTATTAGATTACTTGAACTTTTCACCTATATATAGGAGAAAATTTTACTAAAGCACAGAAGAAAATGTATGTTCTTGTCTGCTAAATAAACACAGACATACACACAAAAATAATGCTTTTTGGCCCTATGGGAAAACAGTAGCTTTACTAACACCATTAGTGATTTTACATTGAGTTTTAGTGACTTTAGTAAAATTCTATAGTGTTCCTTATACGTTCAGCAACCTTTAAGATGATTTTTAAGAAGGGAAACAGAAACAGAAAAGGAAGAAGTTAACATTAAAATATTTTGGAGACAATGACAAATGCATCCTATATGAAGATTTATGAAACATTTCATACCATGCCTGCTTGTTCCACACTACCCTGTCGCACTGGCCTCAACCAGAGATGACTATGTTTTAGGAATTAGATGAGCATTAAATTGTCTTTGGATGTATTTGAGGACCTGCGATTTCTCAGGTAACACTTCATGCTAAATTAAATAAGAGAATACTACAAGTAGATCATCTCAGACATTATGAGCTTGCAAATCAATTCCTCAATTCAGGGTGCTGTTTTGTTCTCTGAGCAGTTGGTGTAAAGTGCTACATAATATGAACAATCACCTACTAAAACTTGCATGCACATGCCTAATGCAGATTTTTCCAAAATACGTGATAATGCATACTGTATATTAGAATGTAAGACAGAGCCCTTAACATTCCCCCTGGGATATCTCTCTCTTTTTCTTCTTTCAGACAGCAATGGTCTTTGCTTCAGGTTCTCTAGCTTTAAAATGTTTTATAAATTATTTCAACTTTGAGAAAGCAAATCAGATTAAATCCAGAAAGGAAAAAGGGAGATAGTAGCATTTACACATTTCTGGAAGCTGGCAGCAAGATAAATCCAATGCAACAAACCTCTGTGGGCTATTAAGTGAATTTTGTTAGGAAAGCACACATAAGGCATGCCTAATGAGAATATGTAGGGTGCTGGGTTTTAAGAAACGGGCTATTATTTATGAATACTAGGTGGTATCCAAAAGAAATGCATGTAAGGATTTAAACACTGATTTCTCTAGGGCCTGGACTTTGCTTGAGGCATTACTCAAGTTGGAAAACAAGAGACAACATGGTATATGTGTGAGCCTTCAAATAATCACGCATTTTATACAGGACAATCTACAAGTCTTTAAAGCCTCTGGGCTTTTCATTTTACTAAACAAGGTCCTCCTTTGGGATTGTCAAGGAGAAAATCTGCACCACAGTGGAAAGAGCTCTATCCTGAGAGTCAGAAATTTTGAATGCAAATCCAGCTGCAGGGCCACAGCTTCTTTATCTATAAAATAGGTACGATAATACTCACCCTGACCACTTCACGATGTCCTTGTAAGGGCCAATGTAATCATGCACTGAAAAGAGATTTTGGAGTGTGAGTGCTTTAGACATGTAAAATGTTAGCAGTACTAATATCTGGGAAATCATCATCACCATTTAGGATTTCCTCTATGTCAAAATCACCACATGGCCAGAGTCTGGATGGGCAAGCTCTACTGTCCCAGGGGAAACAGATAATCCAACTTCATGGCTAAGAAGGCCAATGGGGCAGAGCTGCCAGAATCATATTAATATGGAAGGTTTACTTGCTTCCACTAGATTGTGTGCAAATCAGATCCTACTTTGTTGGTCTTCGCAACCCCAGCGTCCAGCAGAGTTAACCCTCCCCCCAAATGACTGTGAATGAAGTGAAATGAGTGAGATGTCTGCTATGAGCAGAGAACTATGTTGGGTATTTTGATAGATATATGAGTCAGAGTTCAAACAGAGAAGCAGAACCCCTAGGAAACACATACATACTAAGGGATTTATACGGGGCTTTGGCTCTGCTTCACTGTGGGAGGATGTTAAACAGAATGCAGAGGCTGTTGCTTCTGTGTTTGGTGCTGAAGCCTGAAGTCAGCAGGACGGGTAGACAGGAAGAAAAGACAGCTGCAAAGAGGGAAACCGGGACAAAATGGAACCCATAAAGATGAGTGGAGTCTGCGAAGGTGGACCAGAAACCGTATCAGTGTCTCACGACCTCCAAGACTCCACCTTTAATGATGAGGGTGTTCTGCGGGTGAAGCTTATCCTTATCCGGTAAATAAACACATGCCTGCCTGGAGGAAAACGAAGCCAAAGAAGGAGATCCAGAGGACCCAAATATGCCCATGGCAACCAGGATGCCAAAAGGTAGGTGACAATGTGTGTGTGAGCTGCAACGCCAGCCCCAAAAAGATGGCTGCAATTTCACTTGTGTCTTCTAAATCTCGTGCAAAATGTCGCTCAAGACCCACAAACCACGAAGAGGAGGGAATTCTGGGAAGTAGGCGGGAAGTGTTTGCTAGTTGCCTGGCACTTTTAATACACTTTGGAATCCTACAACTCTGTAGAACTGTTGTTTTCTCTGTTTCAAAAATGAAATCTCTATAATCCTGCTTAGGTAACCTCCCTGGAGTGCAGAGCACACCCATTTCTGGGTTTGCAGTTCATGCCCTTTTCCTACATTTCCATACCTACAGAGCAGCCGAGCCTTCACACAAGTCCTCAGCTTGGATTAAAGTAAAGAAACTGCTATATATACATATACGTATGATAGAATACTACTCAGACATAAAAAGGAATGAATTAAATGGCATTCACAGCAACCTGGATGGGACTAGAGACTATTATTCCAAGTGAAGTAACTCAGAAATGGAAAACCAAACATCGTATGTTCTCACTCATAAGTGGGAGCTAAACTATAAGGATGCAAAGGCATAAGAATGATAAAATGGTGTCTGTGGACTCGGGGGGAAATGAAAATGGGGGGTGAGGGATAAAAGGCTACCAATCGGGTTCAGTGTATACTACTCAGGTGATGGGTGCACCAAAATCTCACAAATCACCACTAAAGAACTTACTCATGTAACCAAATACCACCTGTTCCCTCAAAAACCTATGGAAAATTTTTAAAAAGTTATTTCTCAGGGCAGTCCTGAGGAAAATTCACAGCATCCAGAAAGAGCTTCTGTCAGTTTCCCCATTCCCAACAGTGACATCGAGACAGAATTGACGACAGATTCTCGTTCATATTGTCCCTGAAGTATTACCAGGGAGGAATGAATTAAGAACCCCAGAGAACGCACCGTTGGAAGAGTGGGAAGAGGTGGAAAAGGCTGATGAAGCCCTCCAAGCCTGCACTCTTAAAGCTGGGTTTTGATGTCTCACCTGAAATGTTCTCAGTACACTCAAGAAACCGGTAATAAGGAGCCACTGTGTGCCTGCATTACCTGGCCATGTCTACACAGCAAGCAGGCTACTGCCCCTTCACGAGGTGAGCGGCAAGGCAGCATTATGTCATACCATCCAGAAGACACGTCTGCTTTACCTGGGGTCTCTCCACCATGCTGCCTTCTGAGAACCAGCTCATTCTCCTTAGCAGTGCAGTCACTCCTGTGAGCGCATTTTACAATTCCTGGGTTCTTCAAAGAACACCTACGTCCATTTCCAGTGGTGATGCCTCTCTCAGGCAAGCTCCTCTGGCATCTCCTTGGGCTAGGAGTTATTTTGGAAAGTCACATTTCATTTCATCACAGAGTAGTTTTGTGGGGTTTTTTTTGTTTGTTTGTTTGTTTTTTTTTTTTTTTTTTTGAGACCGAGTCTCGCTCTGTCGCCCAGGCTGGAGTGCAGTGGTGCGATCTCGGCTCCCTGCAAGCTCCGCCTCCCGGGTTCACGCCATTCTCCTGCCTCAGCCTCCCGAGTAGCTGGGACTACAGGCGCCCGCCACCACGCCTGGCTAATTTTTTGTATTTTTAGTAGAGACGGGGTTTCACCGTGTTAGCCAGGATGGTCTCAATCTCCTGACCTCGTGATCCGCCTGCCTCGGCCTCCCAAAGTGCTGGGATTACAGGCGTGAGCCACCGCGCCTGGCCACCACAGAGTAGTTTTAAAGTTTGATTCTAACAATGAAGACAGAGAAGGCGCTGTGGGAAGAAAAATGCATGAATCTGTGAATTTGAGGTTTATCAATTTTTCAGGAATTTTTTATTTTTAGATATATTTTGTACATTATATGTACAGATAGTATTCTACAAGAGTGTGAGTTTCAAAGTCTTTCACATACTTAAACTCTAAGAAAATTAACTAAAATCTATGTCAATGTTCACATCTCTTTTTGCTATTGTGTGCATGAATTGAGTGAGAAATAGAATCAGTTCTATCTCATTTTTTAATTACCGTGTCTTCCTTCCATCCAAGACTGGCCTTGGGCAAATTGGGAAGTAGAGGAAGTTGAATACTTCAGAGCTCTCCAAATCTGCATCCCGCCACAAGGCATTCTAGAACTCATGAACCAGAAACTTCCGAACCTAAATTTAATTTCTGCAGTGCCCAATCTCTCTGAGTCTCTCTATAACAGCAAAAAATTGGATTAATAATTTGTATATGAGAGCTTAAAGTGACCAGAGCTGATAGCACAACTCCTTTAAACAGAAACTTACAAAGTCTTAACCCAAGTAAGTGACTGATAGAGGGTTTTCAAGATTTTCTGAAGGGCAAATGAGGTACATCTTTCGTTAAAGGGGCCAAGGAAAGTCAGTCACCCAGACAAGAAAGAAATTTTGCATGTTTAATTAGGGAAAAAATGGAAATTATACAGAAAATCATTGTGGTCATAAAGTAAATAAAATGCCTCTCATGGCAAAATGCACTTTTATGTTAGTCTCCATTAGGTAAAACATTATTTCCATGCAGTAATATCTTTATAGAAGGGTAGAAATCACCTTTTCCATCTCTATTCCTATTTCATGTTAGAGTTTTTTCCAAGGTCGTTAAAATGAAAGAATGACAGTAGACTTTCTTATCAACAGCTTGTTCCAACAGATACAATACATGGGTAGGGGATCAAAAAGAGCATGAGAAGCATTTTCTGCCAACATTGTAGAAAATATTGAACATCTGCTGTGTCTGGGATCCTGGGAGTTGTAATTATAATTTTTTGAAATCTGTACACAAGAGTTATAAATATTAGAACTATAGCCTGTGAAAGCCATGAAATATTTAACTTGTTTGGCAGGCTTAAGCAAAACTCATAAACTTAATTTAAGCAAGCCAAACATTATAGTTTTACCCATTTTATATCCTTCATGTCATTAGTTAGATAAATTAAAGCAAGCTATAAAGCAGCATGGAAACTGCCAACTGGAAGTCCTGTGGGTATACCAAAAATGATGCATTTTAAGAACTAACTCGTTTTACTAATGGTTTGCTTTTCACCTTTCCCAGTTATCCACCCATGCCCAAGACTTGACTCTTTGGTTTGGGGAAGCGGAGGGAGGAGCTGCTGGTAGGAAATGGCTTCCGGATAAGTAAAGAGAAATGCAGGCATCAGGCACTTTAAGCAGGTTCACGACGGCCACAGTGAGACCCAAAGGCCACTGGTGATTTCTGCATGTGTCAATTCAATCTGTCAAAAACGTGTATGCCAGCCTGAGTGAAAACCTTTCAAGCTCAAAAACAGAGGCCTGGTAAACAGCTCTGTGCTACTGCAGAAGGTATCTCGAGAGACCAAGGGAGCAGAGAGGAGCCAGGCTTCTACCGTGTTAGCTCTGTGGCCGGGGGACACCTCTGAGACTTGTCCTTAGAAAGGAATACAGGCTGGAATATATCAGGCTGTGTCCATCATACAGATAGGTGCCTTGATATTTAACCCGGGACAGTGATAACCAAGCCAACTTCAGTGTCTATTTCAAAGTTAAGAGTACTATCCAATTAGCCTCAAATTTCTCCGTTTATACCTGCACCATGCTCTCTACCCTACTCCCAACCCCAGGGTGCTCCCCAGTGAGAAACTAAGGATAACAACATTCACATTTGTAGATTCTGCATGAGAAAAATAATAGATGATGATACTATTTATTTTATAGTACTTTATTTATATATCTTTTTGCAATTGAACCTCAAAGCAACCCCTTTTATATCCATGTGTGTGACTTTTGCAGATTAAAAAAGTAATCACAGAAAAGTGACAAAGTATGCCCATGACCACACAGCTGACAATACTGAGCCTGGCCCTGAGGTCTCCTGAGACTTGGACCAATGCTTTGGCCACAAGGGAGGCAGTCAATTCACAGAACATCTGCTCTGACAGGAGACTGAAGAAGGAATGAGCTAAGGGACTCCAAGTCCAGAGTAAGCCTGTGGACGGATGGTGCTTCCAGGACTCACAGCTTCCCTTCCCTCTGGCCCTTCTTTATGCCCTGGTGTTTTTCAGATTCAGTATCTCTATTAAAACTTCCTACTCCTCTTTCCTGGCCTTGTCTCCCTCTCTTAACCCCTACAAAGGACTGAAACTGGCTGTCAGCTCTGGGGCTTGCCACAGTCATAGCAGCCTTTGTTAACAAGTTAAGAATCTACAGGAATCCCCTCTTTGCTGTCTTTACAATCTGTACATGAGAGCAATCAAATGGATCAGCTGGAAACCCCTAGCTGTGAATGCATAAAAGAGCAAATGAATAGGAAAATTCAAAGGAAATATTTCACTGAAATACCCTGCTGGTCCCGCTTTATTCTGCATTTAAGAAAATAATACCCATGCCCAAACAGCCTCTTTCTCCCTGAAGTAGAGGGTTGATATCACACAGACTGTCTACACAGGGGAACCAATTCAAGGCAGAACTGAAAGTTCCAATTCAATCCAATCAGCCCATGTCATATGTCTGGGGCCAGTCCAACAGGGCTTAGAATGTGATTTGAAAGAGCCAGTGTGAGTTGTCAGTGGCCCACACAAGCAGGAATTTATGCCTCAGGTTTACCTGGATGGAGAGTGAGTATGAAGGTTTTTGTGTCAGCCTCCTGTGTGCCAGGCATATATGTTTCTAAATTCACTTTGCAACAAACTTATGAGATAGACTTTGGTAGTAGTATTCCCTTTTAAACAGACATTCACTCGTTTCTTTAAGATGAAAAAAACAGTAAGTGGAAAATATAAATACTTTGTGCGAATCTACAGCAAACATAAATTTTAGGGTGAATCTGCCTTTTTTTTTTTTTTTGAGATGGAGCCTTGCTCTGTCACCCAGGCTGGAGTGCAGTGGCATAATATCGACTCACAGCAACCTCCACTTCCCAGGTTCAAGTGATTCTCCTGCCTCAGCCTCCTGAGTAGCTGGGATTACAGGCATGCATCACCACTCCCTGCTTATTTTTGTATTTTTAGTAGAGATGGGGTTTCCCCATGTTGGCCAGGCTGGTCTCAAACTCCTGACCTCAGGTGATCTGCCCGCCTCAGCCCCCCAAAGTGCTGGAATTACAGGTGTGAGCCACCGCGCCCGGCCTGAATCTATCTTTAACTCATTTTTGAGCATGGTGATTTTCTAGGCCTCCCTTAATCTGGACACAGAGCTGCGAAGAAGAATAAGCTAATGAGACTGTCTAGTTCTTCCCGTATTCCTGGGGCAGCTAGGAAGATGCTAACAGCAACCCCAGTTCTAGTTCTAAGGGAATGCCCTTGTAGGGGTAATGTGGGCCTGAGTTCCCTCTCCAGTTCCCCACTCCAGTCCTCAGAAAGGCCCACGTACCATGGAGTGCATGGTCCCCACTCTAGCAACCGAGTGACAGGGAGCATGATAAGCCCAGAAGAGCAACAGCCCGTATCCTTCATTTTCTTTCTCATGAATAAAGCTGAAGAAGAACCAGAATCAAAGCTCAAAAATTGCTATAACATTAAAAGACACAAATGATGCGGTTTGACATTATTTTTATTTCACAAAGAAAACTTTGGCATTTCCAAACATTGGAAATGCCAAAGTGTTCAACTCAGTGCCCACTCCTAGTTGAAACTTCATGTCAGCTGCCTGGTACTGAGTCTTCTCGCCCACAGGAGGGCATCGCCTCTGGTTAGACTGACAGGTAAAAGGTCTTGAGGGTCAGAGCCATTGGCAAGTTCCAGGAACAAACAGAACAGGAGTTTTTAACAAGACCTGCAGCTTGTGAGCGGGGAGGCTCCTGGGCGCTAACACTTCGCCACTTTCATTCTCTGGCTGCACACAGGCTGTGCAGACTCAGGGAATCTTTCCAGGGCAGCCGTATGAGAGGGAAAGCTGTTACCCCTCCAAGATTTCATAGTGACAGGAGGCAACTCCACTAGGATTCCTGATCAAGCCACCAGGTCTGGTGGGAACTGCTTTTTCCACTAAGATTTCTGGGCTTGTTTACATGCGTTTTATTCAGAGCTACAGTAATCTGTTCACAAGAGACAGAAATCCTGGTAAATCAATCCTTAAAGCTTGTTGACATTTGTCCACTTGGCAGATCATAAAAGCCCCTTGAAAATCACAGGAGTAAATGTGTAAACCGCTTTACCAAATTATATGATGTAAACGCCAAGTGAAAGAGTTCTGCAGGATAAGATCGCTGAATTGTGACTGTCTTCCGAATGTAACTTTATTTTGGTCTTGGGTTACATGTGAGGTGTTGCCAAAATCAACTGAAAGAGAGACAAAGACATATGAATTCAGCCCAAAAGCTGGCTTTTAAGTTCTCTGTCTTCAAAAAGACTGGAGATTCTTTATGAGATGTAGTTTTGCATAAACAGTCTTTGTTAACAAAAGTTTTCCCCAAATATCAGTTAAATTTTAACTAGTTCCCTGTAAATGTTATGTGAGTGCCAGAAATAACCTCGGCATTTTTGAAGAAAAAAGTAGAACTAGAGAAAACTTCGTGGCATAAACACACAGATAAAATACACACTGCAGTCATTGGTGGCAATCAGACCATAGGGGCCTGAGAGTTCATGATTACTGGAAACTCTTTCCCAAGATTATATCCAGAGAGATTTCTCAGAAGACTTGAAGAGGAATGTCATAGAATAATCATGCATGAAAGCAGTTACAAGTGCTCAGTCTTTGTAACAGCACAGGTAAATCTGCACCTGAAGCTGTTATGTCTGAATTGAGGTTTATTCCAGCCTCTTTGAGAAATCAGGTCCAAAGTTTAAAAGCCCTTTTTACATATCATAATCATCTCTATAGATTCCATTTTAAACCTTTTACCTCCATGGCCTAACAATTGCTTATATCTGAATCTTCCACAGAGACGACATATTAGTTTCCCTACATCTCTCTAATTTTACGCAATGTACTGAATATTTCACTGGAAGTGAGAAGTGAGACCCAAAGAGGAAAGCAGGGGAAAGGTGGTAGGGGAAGGAGAGGGAGGAAAAATGGAAATACATTTTACAGTGTATAGCTAGGTAAGGAATTCTGTTAATATTGATGTATAACAGTAAAGCTAATGGTGAGGAATAGCTCCAGGTCTCCAGGTGATCAAAAGCCCTTCATATGTGGAAAGCTCTTGTGGACTGGAATGTGAGATCTTCCGATGGCAGGAGCCTGGGCGGGGCTTCTGACGATCCCCTCTTTACTGGGGTGAGGGTTATAAACGTTCTTAGGCAGTACATTTAGACATCCTGGAGGAGATACTAAGGGTTCATAAGACCTGAGGCTCTGTTCTCCTACAATTTATGGACTGCAGGAACATGTCTCAACACCACAGAATCTTACACTGATGAGGGACCTTATGGGGGAAGCAGTTCAATATCCTATTGAATACATACATCCCCTTCCCAGCATCTTCACTCAAGCCCCATTCAGCCCATATTGTGGAGGTGGGGAACGCCCTTTGCCCAAAGCAGTCCTTTTTGTCTTGGATGGCTCGAACTCTCCTAAATCTATTTTTTTCTGAAATAATCATTGTATTTTCTACTTAATGGACTTCGTTCTATTTCCTCAAGAAATTGAAGAACAAATGCAATTCCTCTCCTTGCTAAAATGTAAAGCAGCTGACAGGGCTCTGTAACCAGCCGTCATGTATTACTTTGGTAGGTTTTTCTTTGTCATTCTTCTCCATGAAGGAGAAGAGGGAACGGTATGCATGTAGGGGACAGAAGGGGACAGTATGCATGTGGGGGACATGTATGCATGTATGCACATAAGGGACATGTCGGGGACATGCATGCAGGGGGCATGTAGGCATTATGGGACATGTATGCATTAAAGAAGAGGGGACAGTATGCATGTAGGGGACAGAAAGAGGAGACAAAATACATGTAGCTGCCTTTACCTAGGCACCTTGGTTTGGGGACTCTGTGTCATGTCTCAGCAGTACCAAATCCCCATGGGTCTTTATGGAGAAGAACCCTTTGCAGGTTTCTAACATGTCAATTGTGCTACCTCTACTGACAGAAGAGATTTTTAATTTAGTCCAAATGATATGTTCCCTTACCCTCCATTCACTCCCCATGTTTGCAGGGTGCCAAATATGTGCCAGTTCAGTTATATGCTGAGTTCAGGAAAGTTTATGGTGATTAAGACACAACCCTTGTCTTCAAGGAGCTGACTGTCTAGAGCAAAATCTAGATGAGTTAACAGGCAGGTCTAGTACATCATAGGACCATAAGAGCTCATGGATAAGGCTCCAGTTCAGTCATGAGTAGTCCTAGAAGAACGGTTGTCTGAGAGGAGAACTAAGCAGCAGGCAAGCAAAAGGAGCAGTAGTAGAATGCCTCCCAAGGAAAGAGCCAAGCTTTGATAAAAGGCCAGAGACAGCAGAGAGTGTGATATATCACACATACTGTGTAGACAATAAGGTGGGTAGGAACAAGTGTTTACCAATATTATACAAATACATCTCTGCCTATAAGACATGTGTGTGGTGTTGTAGTCTACCCACAAGATTTTATGTATTAAATTGTGTGCTCTGTTTAAGTTATACTTGAATATTAAGGACTAAAATAAAATTCACTCATTCAGAGATCTGATCACTAAGATACAAAGAAGAATAAAGTGTTCTTGACTGTGAAACTCACAGTCCAGTGGAAACAATTTTTTTAAACTTGCATGTTGTCAGAAGCTGGTTATCTAGGTTTGTGAGATAGTTCTAAATGGTTTTGAGTAATTGGGTCAAGTAGATAGTCTTCTGAGACAGAAACCCAAAACAGAAGTCTCCAATAGAGGTCTGCTATGTTTTCTCTCCTCTTAATCAAAAATAGTAATTCCTATCCTTTAATGATAATTAAAAATCAAAATTCATTTTGATCAGTGATTAGCTCAATGACCATTTCTTATATTGGCCTTTCAGTCTCTACAGAGCTAAAAAAGATAAGGAGTTGAACTGGGTTGTGGGGGAGGCTGATGTGCATAGAGTGCAGAAATGGCAAGGAATAGGCTGTAAGAAGCTCTGTGAGAAAATTCTGAAAAGGAAGGAAGCCATCATTGGCAGTTAAGTGTTTACTAAGAAGGAAGGGCTAGTAATAAGGAAGTAAATTTGATTAAAGAAAATTATTCTGAATTCTACTTAAACTTCCGCCTGCTCCAATTCAAGGAATGTTTTCCTGAGATCCTCTTAATTCAAACCAAGGTTTCTCACCTTGGCACTATTGACATTTTGGGCTGGATAATTCTTTGTTTTGCAGGGTGGGAGAGGGAGCTGTCCTCTGCATTATAGGATATGTAACATCCATGGCCTCTAGCCACTAGATTCAAGTAGTACTCAAACGCATACATCAGTTTCAACAAACAAAAATGCTTCAAACGTAGCAGGATGTCCCAAGGGGGAGAAAATTAACCCACTTTGAGAATCAGTGATTTTAACTAACAGGGATAAGGAGCCAGAGCACAGTCAAAGAATTTAATGAGCTACTGAAGAGGATCCTTATTGCAAAAATTATTGTAATTCTACTATGGTAAATTACAAATGTTTTCTAAAAATTTTAACATGAATAATCTAGAGTCTGTTTGACACATACATGCGCACACACACATACGTGGATTTTTTCCTACCCATCTTTTTATTGCGTTAGTGCTAAAAAATAAGTTGTGCACTCTGTAATATAAGAATTAAATGGATTTCCAAATCAGCTTCCCGGGGCTTCAGAATAATTTCATGTTACCATATTAGTGCAGAAAAAAAAATGTATCTCATCAAAACTATTCCAGAAGCACCTCATTTTGATAGGAAAGTACTTTGTGATGATTACCTAATAGGCAGCATTTGTTGAAATGCTTTTAATAGACCTTTTTTATCACATGCAAAAGAATTTCAATGCTAGTTCAGTCTCCTGTTTCATTCTGTCATGAATCAATTTGTAGAGACATTTAGAAGTCAATAATCCGCTGCAGCTTTGATGACAGGTGATTAATTTCTACATTTTAGAGACGTAATAAGATTTAGCAATAAAAAGGCCTTGAAGTAACCTACCGAACAGCTTTAATCTCAGTCTTGGGACTGTTGCTAACATGAACGCTTGTACACAAATGTGAATGATTTAAGTTAGTAGGTTTTATTGCAGACTCCTTGTGTCTTCCTATTAATCTTGCTTTACAATCAGGCTATCCATGCAATCAATTTATGTTGGATATTTTTTCCCAACACAATGCTTGAAGGGAGGAGGGGGCTAACAAATTATTTACACGCAAAGAGTTTGTTCTACAAAAGAAGTCATTTTACGTGCTTATTGCTGAGGGGACGACTGATTTTACTGGTGTGGCAAGGAAAAAGAAAAAAGAAGTGAAGGTGGCCATCAAAAGATTCTGACGGATAAGTTCAAGGAATGGATGGTGATGAATGCTGAACCACAGCTAACACTTCCTTCCAAATAATCAGCTGCTCTCCCGTTCATAATGTCTTTCTTTTCATCCTTCTTATTCTGAAAATTGACAGAGGCCTCAAAGTAGTTTCTAATTCTTATCAAACGATTTCTATGAATGTAAGAGCTCATAAAAAGAGTGAGGTTAATCTAACCTGAAAAGAAGGGTTTCTCTTCTACTGCCACTGGGTAAACACCCCAATGTGGAAGGTTTTTTTTAAATAAATATATAAATCAAGGCAGATGAATTCAGTGTTCACATAATTCATCACTCCTGACCAACAAATGGAATGTTCTTAGGAAACACTAAGTATTCCTAAGGCACATGTTCCGGGTTCAGCTGACTTGTGCCTGTGCTTGTTAAATCTTGGGAGCTTGAGGTTTTGCTTTGTTCTGACATGTTTTTGATGTCAGCGGAGGATCATTGCTGAAAGTCTTCGTGGAAGTCATTTTTTCTTTCAGAAGAAAATGACGAAAGAAGAGATGGCTGCTTGACACACGTACAAAAACAAAGACAGCGTGCTTCTGGGGAAGATCCAAGAACAGGACATGGAGACAAAAATGAAAGACTTTTCAGGAGACCACCCAACAGAACAGAAACCAGACTCACCTCCCAGTGCTGTGCCCTCTCTTTCCCCAATCACCATGATCACGATTTTACTTTTCTCATTATTCTCCTTTTTTAAAGATTAGACATCTGTTATTATCCGTCATTATTTTCTCTTTTTTTAATTTAAATTTGGCATGCCTCCTATTAAAGTGTTTCTTAAAACAGTTCCTTCTTCCTTATTCCCTGAGTTAGGGCACCAAGCTAGGTATCTAACTAGGGAACCTTCACAGCTCGCCAAGTGGGCTTTGCTGCCTCCAGCCTTACCCTGACCACCCCCCATCTACCCTCAATGCTGCTGCCAGACTAACCTTCCCACAGGACTCCATGCTTGTCTGTTTGCCTTTTGTGTGTGTTCACACATTCCAGGAGCAAATCTGAGCAATTAACACATGCTGGGCACTGTGGTAGGAACTGGGAGTTTGAAGATGAAGACATGGTGTCTTAATTTAAATAGCTCGAAATCTATCCAGAGAGACAGACACATAAATAACTACCAGCGTGGTAAGTGCTATAAGAGTTCTGTGGGTATGTATTCACAAAAAGCAGTAGGTATCCAGCTGAAGCTGTTATTAATACCTCCTAAGAAGAAGACATCAGCCTGAAACCTGCCAAATTTTACCAGGAGGAGAGGGACTACCCAGACAGAGCAAGCAATTCAGTAAATACACGGAGTCATTCTTAAAATAGACAGATAGAAGATAGATGATAGATGATGATAGATAGATAGAGAGATGATAGATGATGATAGATAGATAGAGAGATGATAGATGGATGGATAGATAGATAGATAGATAGATAGATAGATAGATAGATAGATAGATGATAGATAGAGATAGATATAGAATATCTTATTGGTTTATTCCCTCTCTCTGTCTTCCTCTCTCATCCCATTTTATTCCTTATCTCTTGCAAATTTAGTGAAACACTACTCTCTCTGTTTGCTGCTTTCCCACTTACTCTCCAGTTACCACTTCACTGACACTGTTTCTCCACTTAGAAAGTAGGTAATCTCCTAGATGTCAAATCAAAAGTATCCTTTTCCATTCTTATCTTACTGAACTACTTTTGCATTTAAAACTTTGTGTGTGTGTGTGTGTGTGTGTGTGTGTGCCCTCATTTTTAAAACTCTACTTTCTTGGCTTTGACACACACTCAAGTTTTCTTATACACCTTCTTCTACCTCTGAGGCTCCTTTGTGGGCCTCTGCTTTTTTATCTACCTTTAAAAGTTGAGTTTATGAAGGATCTATTCTCATTGTATACACCTTCCTCCGGGGAGGGCAGAAATCATTCTTATGGTGATAAACAGTAGTCATCACCATTCTCCATCAGTCTCCAACCCAGGCCTCCCTCCTGAAGTAAGAATCATTTTATCCAACCACCTGGAGAATAGCTCATGATGTTGTATCTAACTATCTATAGAACATCTGTCAATGGGCCGCAACGTATTGTTTCTAAAGGGAAGGGAGGAAAGACAAAAATAAAAAATAGCTATAGGCATGTTTCATCTAGACTAATCAGATCCATTAGGCAGAAACTTGGTCTGTAAAGCAAGGAACACACTCAGAAGTTACACAGATGTTCCAATTAGATACACTGGTATATATATCTAACTATATATAGTGTGTGTCTATGTAATCTAGTCATAAATAATAATTTTATTTATTAGAGTATAGGATTAAACATGTCTGGAGCCCACTAAAATGAAACACAGTTTCTATAAAGACAAGGCTGTGGGTTCAGTTGGGGTGGGGGGAGTTGTTTTACTCTTTAAATGACAAGATCTTCTATTACTATGTTTTTTACTGCTCAAGAATCAAAAGATCCAAATTCATATCCTAAATTTGACTGTTATTCTTTCTACATAAAACTTTATTTTTTATTTCAGGATGTCCTCCGAGTTGCAGAAACTAAGTTGTAGATATATCACAAAAATTGACAATCCCATGAGTATTTGATCCCAACACAAAATATTCAGGATAACGCTTCACTTTCTCTCACTGGTCTTTCAACACTTCTTCTTGGCAAAAAAAAAAAAAAAAAAAAAAATTGCTTTAAAGATACACAGACGAACACACACACACATACACACAATTGATGATTATTATCACATCAATTTTAGAGGAAACAGAGGAACAGAGAAAATAAGTAATTTGCTCAAAGCTTGTCTGGATTCAGGTCAGTCCACCAGATGTCTCAGCTTTTACATAATTAAGAGAGAGAAAGAAAACAGAAGCTATAAACATGAGAATCTACATACACTAAATTTATTCTTCCTTGAGGTCCATCCTAAAATTACCTCTCCACTGCCCTCCACCCCTGACCTCAGCTCTAGGGGAAGATTTCTTCATTATTTCCCTACATTCAGTGTTCATTCCTAACCCCCAGTCCTTTGATCAATGTATTTCTACCACCCTCGAATGCCTTTTACCTTCTCTTCCCTGTCCAAATCCTTTCCTTCCTTCAAGCCTAACTATATCCTTGACTAGAAACTTCTTTGGCAATATGATAAATCTTACCATTTTTAGTTCTTTGTTCTTGAGTTATTTTCATGTATTCGATTCTTCCCCAGTACAGTGCAATTATCATGAAGACAAACAGCCATCTTATGTGTCTCTTCTTCTCCGTGACTTCATGGCTAGCTATATAATACATTATCAAAAAATACTTGTTTGAATGGATAACTAGATGGAGGACAGTAAGGAGTAGTAAAATAAATAAATAGAAATGGTAAGAAATAAAGAATCTTATATAAGTAAATATTGAACTTATGGGTTAAAGTATTTCAAAAGCTCATCACACACAGATAGAAATAGGCCTCTTCTAATAGTTTCAAAAGCTTCATAAAATAGTTTTTTTCCAATTATCCCAGCCTCCATGAAGTTGATGTAAATAAAGAAGAGAAGCTAACATTGATAGAGCACGTACTGTGTGCAAGGCCTCCATTGTGTACTTTGAAATACAATATCTCAGTCACACTGTACAACAGTCCTGCAAAGCATTATTACCCCACTTCTACAAGTGATAGAACTAACGTTCAGAGAGGGCAGTTAACATCCCCAAGATTAGACAGCCATCAAGTAGAGGAGCTGTACTTTGAACTCAGGTCCAAATGAATCCCCAGCCTATCTTTTTCTGTTAGTCTTTCTTTATACACTGTAAGGTAATGTTTGCATCCCTGGCTGTTCTGTAAAGCTAAATCAACACTAGCAATGCATTTCTAAATGTATGTGAAGAGCAGAAGGACCACATGGTTCTTGTACTTCCTCTGCTGGGTTAACCATTAACAATCAGCATCAACATCCATTCCAGTCTCTACAAATACCCAGAATCTCTGCACTCTGCACCTATCATTATATATGCCAAGGTCCCACTCTGGAAGGTAAACTTGCCAAAAACACATATATAATCCAGAGGTTACCCCTGCAGAGACACATTCTCCAATACTCAATATGCAAACATAAGAAAATAGACTTTTTCTGAAGTTGTTTTAATGAAGAGGGAGCGTTAGAAACCATGCTGAGGCAGCTTCCTGAAAAATCTTGGAAAGGGCCTCAGTCCTGTGAGCCACGGTTTCCTCAGCTGTGAAATGGGTATAATAACTAAAGGTCAATCAAAATAATTTTTAAAAGGCACCTGGAAAATAGTAGGTATTTAATAAATATTGTTTTACATACTCATTGACAGAAATATTCTTGATAGACATAATAAGAGTGCATAAAGAAGAAAACCAACACAAATTATTTGGTTGGTGTAAAAGAAATTGTGGTTTGGGCAGTACTGTCAATGGCAAAATTGCATTTACTTTTGAACCAACTATTTTAGACCATTCTCACACTGCTAAGAAAGACATACCCAAGGCTGGGTAATTTATAAAGGAAAGAGGTTTAATTGACTCACAGTTTAGCATAGCTGGGGAGGCCTCAGGAAACTTATAATCATGGTATAAGGGGAAGCAAACACTTCCTTCTTCACATGGTGGCAGAAAGGAGAAGTGCAGGGGAACTGCCCTTTATAAAACCATCAGATCTCATGAGACCTATTCACTATCAGGGGAAGAGCAAGGAAAAAACATGCCCCTATGATTCAATTACCTCCCACTGGGTTCCTCCCATGACACGTGGGGATTATGGGAGCTACAATTTAAGATGAGATTTGGGTGGGGACACAGGCAAACCATATCACCGACCTAATAGAATACAGACAAAATTTGACTAAGGTATAACTTTGACTGTTACTATAACAGATGAAAGGGCTGGGCATGGTGGCTCACACCTGTAATCTCAGCTACTCAGGATGATGAGGTGGGAGTATGTCTCAAGCCCAGGAGTTTGAGGCTGTAATGAGCTATGATCATGCCACTGCACTCCAGCCTGTGCCACAAAACAAGGCTCCTTCTCAAAAAAAAAAAAAAAAGAGAGAGAGATGAAAAAATCAGAACACGTATAAATATGATAGAATTATAGATTATCAAGAACTGTAAAGACAGAAAATTCTTAATTTGATGGGTATTGAAAGAATAAATTACTCGTTCCAACTTCTTACTTTTATTCTTCAATTATGTGCTGTCATAAATGTATCATGTACAGATGCAACATAGATAAGAGGCAAGGAAAATTATTTTAAAACATAACTAGCCTTATTGTCCACTCTTCCAATTTTTCCTGATTTTAGGTGCCAAAAACATATAACAAAGATGAAAACGCCACTAAGACAAAAGGATAATTGTTTGCTGTGTTAACTTCAAAGAGCTATTGCAGCACAGCAACATCTGTAATAAAACGACGGATGCCTGTTTTTTCACCAATGTCAAATCATCATAAAATACTGAGGAGATGGGAGGAATCAAATCTTGCAGTCCTTGAAATCTGATATGAAGTCTATAACCAACCCTGTGCAAGATGGGTAGCTTTTACAAGAGGACAAACACATTGTAAGGGAATGAATCAAAGCAAAGGATTAGATAATTGAAGAGGTGACAGCACATCAGATTGCAGGTGGCAGAGTGAGGTATGGAACAGGAGTTGCCTGCCCAGTAACACACAAGAAGAGTTACGACATTTATGCATTTTCATTTCTACAGGTGGGAACCTCAAATCATTCCATGGGCTAGCCTCTGAGTACCTCTAATCCAAGCCTGCCAAGGATCAGTTGATATACTCCTGTATCGTCAGAGATGGACCCAACATATTTCCAACAATATTTCTTTGGTCCTAACAAGACACATTTTAAGTCTAAATAACCTGTAAATTCAAACCTTATTTTCTATGGTTAAGATATATGCCCTTGCAGGCTCTATTATACACAGTCATAGATCCAGGAAACATTATTTGACCACCTACTCTGTGCCAGGCTGTGTAAGACAGTTCTTCTATGATTTCCCATTCAATCCTAACAGGCATGCTCTGCTGTGCATGCTGTTGTCTTTTTTAGTAGATGAAGAACTAAGAATCAAAAACATTAAGAGACTTACCCAAGATGATATACTTTAGAATGCTTTTCCCCACTAAAATAGCAAGTTTGATTGCCACTGCAGCATCAAAATACAGCAGGGCTAGAATATGCTTACATTGCACATGAGCTGAGAGCCCTAGAGCATGTGCCTTCTCTCTCCTCCCATGCCTCTGAATAAGGATCTCAAATGCTGGAAGTTCTCAGTCAACCCTGGCAGCTTTTGGTAACATTTTTCCCATGTTATTTCAGACAATGGATTTGTCCTTTTTAAAGACAAAATAGAATTTACTTTCCAACTTTATATTTTGCTATATTTTACAATATTTCAAGTTTTTCTTGTTCATTAGCAAATGAAATAACAGCATATGGCTAAAAGGCCTAAGGATAAGACTTCACCCCAAAGAAAGACAGCTAATCCTCAAAAAAAAAAAAAAGAATATTATCCCCTACTAACAGATCTCTATTCCAATTTTAAGTTATCTCCTTGACCTTAAAGATAATACTCTGTGGGAGTGAGAAACCTAAGACCACCGCTCTTCATAGCCAGTTGAGTTATGAATTTAAAATTTCCCACAAAATAGCAATAAATCCAGATCCAAAGACAGTTTAAGAAAGCTACAGAAAATGTTACTCTCTCATCCCAAAAGCTTTTCAGTCCTTAAAGAATTTAATTGTTTAAAATCTAAGGTCTTCATATAATCCAGCAATCCCACTACTGGATATATATCTACTCAAAGGAAAAGAAATTCATATATCAAAAAGATACCTGCACCCATATGTTTATTGCAGCACTATTCGCAATAGCAAAGATATGGAATCAACCTAAGTGTCCATCAAGAGATGATTGGATAAAGAAAATGTGTCATATATACACAATAGAATATTATTCAGCCATGAAAAACGAGTGAAATCATGTCTTTTGCAGCAACATGGATAGAACTGGTGGCCATTGCCTTAAGTGAAACCACTCAGAAACAGAAAGTCGAATACTGCATGTTCTCACTTGTAAGTGGGAGCTAAACAATGTGTACACATGGGCATAGAGTGTGGAATGATAGATATTGGAGACTTGAAAGGGTGGAAGCATGGGTTGGGTGTGAGAGATGAGAAATTATTTAATTGGTGCAATGAATTTTTTTTTTTTAGACGGTCTCACTCTGTCACCCAGGCTGGAGTGTAGTGGCACAAATCTCAGCTCACTGCAACCTCCACCTCCCGGGTTGAAGAGATTCTCCTGCCTCAGCCTCCCAAGTAGCTGGGATTACAGGCATGCACCACCATACCCAGCTAATTTTTGTATTTTTAGTGGAGATGGCGTTTCACCATCTGGGCCAGGCTGGTCTCGAACTCCTGATCTCAAGTGACCTGCCTGCCTCGGCCTCCCAAAGTGCTGGGATTACAGGCGTGAGCCACCACACCCAGCTAATGTGCCCAGCTAATGTTCATTATACTGGCTGGGCTGGGGGCAGTGGCTCACACCTGTAATCCCAGCACTTTGGGAGGCCGAGGCAGGCAGGTCACTTGAGATCAGGAGTTTGAGACCAGCCTGGCCCACATGGTGAAACCCCATCTCTACTAAAAATACAAAAATTAGCTGGGTGTGGTGGTGCATGCCTGTAATCCCAGCTACTTGGGGAGGCTGAGGCAGGAGAGTCGCTTGAACCCAGGAGGTGGAGGTTGCAGTGAGCCGAGATTTGTGCCACTATACTCCAGCCTGGGTGACAGAGTGAGACTGTCTAAAAAAAAAAAAAAAAAGAAGTTTATTGACCTCAAGAGGCATCTGGGAGCACCTCACTTAATCTTAAAAAGGCATCAAGGGAGCCCATCACTTAATCCTACTACAGATTTAATCTTAAAGACAAAGTGTTCCAAATTTTGGGTGGGATTCAATGGAGGAAGTCATGTTAAATGAGAACCAAATATTGAAATAAATAAGATAAAATTAGTACCCCTTCTAGCTCCAGTGGTGCAACCAAAGACCTGCCACACATAACTGGGCACTTTGTAGTCTCACCTAAAAAAATGTAAGATCCTTAACTGAGATATTTGAAAAACTCATGTCATATTTTCACTTCAGAAGAAACCTTATTCAACTTGTTCATCTTGGCTTCAGAACACATTTATCTAATAGTAAGTTCTTTTCAACTCATTTCATTCTGAAAGCCAGGTAGAAGTTGGCTGGAGTTAGGATAGTTTCTTCTTAGTCCTTAGGATTAATCTGGTCATTTGTCTGTTAGGAAAACATTCATTTCAATAGAACAGATTTCAGAACTTGATTTAACAACCCTAGAGCATGGCTGGAATTCCAAGATCCCTCTGGGGAAAAATGGGGCATTATAATAATAATTTCAGAAGACAAGAGTAAGTACTGTTTATCCATCACCTATGGGATGTTAGTGGGTGATAGTATTGAATAGATTCATGGTGCAGTGAAAATGGGCCAACTTTGAAGCCAGTCAATGAGTGACTTTTTCTCCGCTGTTTCCAGAGAATAGAACAAAATCTAACACATAGCAGGCCCTCAATACAAATCTGATATATGAACAAATTAATGGATCTGTTTCAACCTCTTCATTTTACATACAACACACAGAAGCTAAGAAATTTATCCTTGATTATTAGCAAAGTGAAACTCAGAATCTCTAGATTTTCTTCTTTGTCACATTGTGATGTTACCTGTTTTTAGTTTGTGGGTTTGCTTGTTTTGTTTTTAATGTTTAGGAAATTTAAGCCTGTATTGACTTACCTCACAGTGCCATAGCACAGAGCTTTCTAAATGTTTTGAATTACAGAAGTACCTGGTGTGTGTATTACAAATAAAGTTTCCCAGACTTCTACCTGGAGATTCTACTTCTGTATCTCTGACCAGGCAAGTCTGGGAAACATGGCCTAGCCATGTCTCTGGAGAAGAGGGCTCTCTGTTTGCTCACCACCAGCACACCTAGTTCAAGCCAGAGAGGAGAGGGTGAGGAGACACTCAGTCTGCTCCGCTGGATGCAGGAATATAGGATGCTTTGTTTATTACAGTGTCAAAGGACACTGAAGAGAGCACCAAGAGAGGTGATTTGAGGGCAGAAAGCACCTGGGAGATACAGCACTCACCTTTGATTCATTAATTAAATTTGCAGAAAGGCAGCTGCCCAAGAGGTCCTGCAGCTGCACATGCTTCCCTCCACCTTTTTATGAGAAAGAAACAAATGACCTCAGGGCAGATTGATGGAGGGTTTTTCTTCTTCCGGAAACTAAGCTTCAGCACCACTGGTCAGTATTCAGCCCTTTCTTTCTTTTCTTTCTTTCTTTTTCTTTCTTTCTTTCTTTCTTTCTTTCTTTCATTCTTTCTTTCTTTCCTTCTTTCTCCTTTTTTTTTTTTAACGGAGTTTTACTCTTGTTGCCCAGGCTGGCATGCAATGGCACAATCACGGCTCTTGCAATCTCTGCCTCCCGGATTCAAACAATTCTCCTGCCTCAGCCTCCCAGGTAGCTGGGATTACAGGCATGTGCCACCACGCCTGGCTAATTTTGTATTTTTAGTAGAGACGGGGTTTCTTCATGTTGGTCAACCTGGTCTCGAACTCCTGACCTCAAGTGATCCACACACCTCGATCTCCCAAAGTGCTGGGATTACAGGTGTGAGTCACCGCCCCCGGCCACATTCAGCCACTTCTATGTTCCATATCACTTACATGGCCATGTTTTCCTAACTACCATTGATCTGAAAAAGTTCCAATATAAATATTTATTTGCTGAACGAATGAATGAGGAGGGTTCTGCCTTCTATCATTAGCACTATTGTATACGAATTCATTTTGATAGCCCTTTTCTGGAGTCAATATCCTTTCCTTTCTGAGGTATGTATACTATAAACTGAATTATTGTGGACATTAGAAGAGAAAAACGAGAAGAAACAGTGACAAAATAGGAGGAAATACAGGATTTTGCATGCACAAATGCTAAAAGCCCTGAGAAAAACAAAATATCATGAGAAAAATTAAATCAGGCATTATAATTGCAATCTAGTCTCTATCAGTGAAGAAAGAGGTAGATGTAAAGCCAGCAGATGTACTTAAGAGGGATTATTACATTTTTATGAACTAAGCTAATGTAGTCCTGGATTGCAAATTCCATGAACACTATAATTGCTGAATGCAAGTTTCACAAGGGCAAAGTGGATGTCAGCCTGTCACATGGTGGACACTCAATAAATACTGGATGGATGAATGGATGGATGGATGGATGATCTTGGATATTTGAGAGAAGGACAAAGACATACCTGCAAATATTCTGAGCTCTTTCCATCTCCACAAGCCAAACTGTTTTAAGTCTCTGAAACCATGGTGAGATACAGAAGACAGGACCTACAAGGTGGAAGTCAGTATTCCTTTTCATAAAATCAACAATTCCTTTTCATAAAATCAACAAGCCCTATGAGGGCTGCTGTAGCAAAGTGCCAGAAACTGGGTGACTTAAACAACAGAAATGTACTGTCTCACAGTTCTGGAGATGAGAAGTCTGAGATCAAGCTGTTGGCAGGGTTGGTTCCTTATAAGGGCTATGAGGAAGACTCTGTCTGATGTCTCTTTCCTCTTCTGGTGGCTTGCTGACAATCTTTGGCCTTCCTTGGCTTATATACACATCACCCAATCTCTGAGTTTTCATATGGTGCTTTCCGTGTGTGTGTGTGTGTGTGTGTGTGTGTCCACCTTTCCCCTTTTTTATAAGGACACAAGTCATATTGGATTAGGGCCCACCCTAAAAGACCTGATTATAGCTTGATTACCTTTGTAAAGACCCTATCTGAGGTTCTGAGAATTAGAACTTCAATGTGTGAGTTGGGGTGAAGGGGACATAAATCCACCCATAGCAACCAGTTACCAAAATAAGTGCCACACAGAATGCATAGCATCTGCAACAAAAAAAAAAAGTAAATTATTGTTTAAGCTTTTCACTGAAGGGGAGAGGATATCCCAGTAACAAAGAGATAGTAAATAAAAATTAATACAAATAACTCATTGTTACTTAGCCATTTCTAAAATGCAATTCAAACTCTCTTCATTTAATTGCTCTCTATTAGTTTAGTGAGTGTACTTTTTAAGAATTTAAACACACAGCTCTAGTGTAAAAATATTTATAAGAGCCTTAGTAGCTTTACTTCCCATATCACTTCCCTCTCATCTTCTTTTATATTTAACAACTAAATTCCTCCAACACAGTGGTTTTTAAGAAGCTAGCCACCATGGTTGGAAAATAAATATCACATATAGTATTGCATATGTTTTGGAGAGATGTCAATCCAAAATAAATGGAAAGTTCTGGCTTTTGAAAAGATAATGTTCTAAGAAAATTTACTTATCCAAACAGTTCATTTCCTGACGATGATGAACAACTGAGATTGTGCTATTTATAGAAGTGGTTTAACTGGATATATACAAACGACAAAGTTCAGCTCATTTTATGTGAGAAAAAGTACCTTTATGAAGAATAAAAAGGAAAATACTAAAATAATATCCAACAAATCTTCTTAAAACTTAGATATTCTGTATAAGTCACATCCATTGGGAGTCCGGTAAACATCAAGAGGAAAAGATCAAATTCACTGTTAAAGTAACAGTCATAGCATTTGGCATTTTTGCTCTACGAAAGGGGCATCGAACATATCCTCTGAGCACACTAGACTTGAAAAAGAGAAAATTAAGGGGGCTAAATGTTAAGTCCTACAGTTAGAAAGCTCAAGAGAAATATAGTTACAATCACACAGGCACAGATTCTAAAGGGGAAAACAGACTCTAAATGTGAAGAAGCTTTAGGGAAAAAACTTATTTCACTGTCCAACAATTATAATTCTTCCTGAAGGGAAGGAAAGAAGTTTAAATCAAGAAGCCTTTGATATAAAAATCAAGAATTCATGTGTATTTACACGAATAAATAGAATTCTATAGATAGATAACCAGACAAAGGATTGTACTGAAACAGAAAATACTCCTTGACCCCTTCTTGGTCCTCACAACAGAGGTGCCTCACTTATCAGCCAGCAGCTCCCTACCCCTCGTGGGAGGAGGAGAATGCAGGTGAGCAGATGCAGGAGCCAGAGCAAGCACTTGTGGGTGCCAGCAGGAGCACAACTCCATGCAGCCCCACAGCAGCATCTAGGGAGTTACCCACGACCCCTGAAGCCCCAGAGGACATGTGTTACAGTGTGGTCTTTTAGCTTTGCTCTCTGTAGACAGCTTAAGTGTTAACAGCTCAGTGGAGGGTCAGTGTGACAGCCTTTTGCACCCACACCCGAGTCCTTATCTGGCATCCAGGAGGAATGAGGTTGCATGAACAAATTAAAGGATGATGAATGCAAAGGATTTTATTGCCAATGAAAATGGCTCTCAGTGGGAAGGGGAGCTGGAAGGGGGATGGAGCAGGAAGATGATCCTCCCCTGGAGTCCCGTGAGGGACTCTTCTCCAAAGTCCTGATGTCAAGTCGTCCCCCTGAAGTCAAGCTGCTTCTCTCTGATGTCCAGCTGCTTCATGTCTTCTCTCTTTCTATGCCTTCTGCCAGTTGGGTCAGGGGGTTTTATGGGTACAGGACTGGGGGCAAGTCCAATTATTTTGGATGTAAAATTATCTTGGTGATCCATGGCATATCAAAGTGAGTTTGAAAGTCCAAGATAATTCACAGGTATTCAATATTAAAGCAACTGGTGACAAGAATAAAGAAGAATGGGTTTTATTCTCATGTTCTCACTCGTATGTGGAAGCTAAAAATTAAAACCATTGAACTCAAGGAGATAGAGTAAAATGATGGTTTCCAGAGGCTGGGAAGGGCAAGGAGTGGGAGAGAGTGGAGATAGTTAATGGGTGCAAAAATATAGTTAGAATGAATAAGATCTAGTATTGGATAGCACAACCGGATGACTAAGTCAACCGTAATTTATTATATATTTTAAAATAACTAAAAGAGTGTAATCAGAATGTTCCTAAGACAAAGAAATGATAAATGCTTGAGGTGACGGATACTCCAATTATCTTCATGTGATTGCTATACGTGTGTGCCTGTATCAAAACATTACATGCACCCCATAAATATATATACCTACTATGTACCAATAAAAATTAAAAATTAAGGGGCAAGGCGTGGTGGCTCATGCCTGTAATCCCAGCAGTTTGGGAGGCCGAGGAGGACAGATCACGAGGTGAGATCGAGACCATCTTGGCGAACACAGTGAAACCCCATCTCTACAAAAAATAAAAAATAAAAAAAAAATAGCCAGGCATGGTGGCACGCACCTGTAGTCCCAGCTACTCGGGAGGCTGAGGCAGGAGAATCGCATGAACCCAGGAGGCAGAGATTGCAGTGAGCCAAGATTGTGCCACTGCACTCCAGCCTGGGTGACAGAGGAAGACTCCGTCTCAAAAATCAAAAATAAAAATAAAAAAAAAAAGTCACACACAAAAAAAAGAATAAAGAAGGGTTTCGAGGGAAAGATAATGAGTTCAGTTGCTAGACCTTTATTTTTAGGAAAAAAACTGCATTTTTACATATTTGATATATTTATTTCATGTATTAGGTCCATTTTCACACTGCTATAAAGACATACCCAAGACGGGGTAATTTATAATATAAAGAAAAGAGGTTTAGTTGACTGGGTCCGCGTGGCTAGGGAGGCCTCAGCAAACTTACAATCATGGTGGAAAGGGAAGAGGCACATCTTACATGGCAGCAGGTGAAAGAGTGAGCAAGAGCAGGAAAAGCTGCCTTATAAAACCATCAGATCTCGTGAGAACTCACTCACTATCACGAGAACAGCATGAGGGAAAACACCCCCACGATCCAATCATCCCCCACCTGGTCCCTCCCTCAACATGTGGGATTATGGGGATTGCAATTCGAGATGAGATTTGGGTGAGGACACAGAGCCAAACCATATCACCACATAACTCCATTTATAAGTATTCTCTAGCTTTAAAAAAGATTAAAAACATCTGGATTTGAATGAAGGTTTTTGCATAGTTACTCCAATTCCATTTTTAAAAGGTGAAAAGGAGGTGCCTATATAGTTATGTGATTTTTTTCTATATACCTAAACAGTGTCAAACATAGGTATTTTAGGCTGTGACTTGTGACCCCAGCCTTGTGCTCAGATCCCTTGACCACATATAGCAAAGAACATCATGAATCAATGAACTTCTAACCTGGTAAGGACCTTAAGTTTCCCCTAGTCCAAACCTTTGATTGCGCAAGAAGCTGAGTCCCACATATTTGCCCTGGCTCACATAGTTAGTGTGGTGACAGGCCCCAGATTAGAATCCAAGGGGGAAAACCCTCATCTGGCATGAGGCCCACTGCCATAGCCCGCCCCAACGTGGAATACTAAATCTGGCAGTAAAATTGATAGCATTTGATGACACTTTGAAAATAAATTGCATTTTCTATTTAAAAAAATCAATTGTATTACTTTATTCAATCCTCACAACTTCATTAATTAGGAATAAGTTTCCCCCTATACAGATAAGAAAACTAAAACTTAGAGAAAAAAAGTAATCTGCCTAAAGTCACATAGTCAGTAAGTGTTAAACTCAGACCTTGAACCTCCAAGCTCTTTTCTCTAATACCCCCAATTATAAGAGAAATAAAATTAAACACACAGATATACTTCATTAATGCTATTTTTAGGAATTAAATGCTAAATTTCACATAGGATCTGTTGCAAGACAGCAAAAAATAAACAAACTATACAAGGTTTGTATATCCTGTTAAAATCAGAATTTTGAAAACTGCTTACCTGATACATTTACCTTGACCTCATAGATTACCTTTAATACTACTCTTGCCCTGATATATTTGACCTCTATTCATAGAAAATGAAACGCAGCTGTATGGATTGATTTTTAGATCTCTTTATTCAAAGTAAAAGATGAGCCAAAATCAAATTTTAGTATGTCTAATATTTATGCTTGCAAAGACAGTCTAGCAAGTGTCAACTTTGGGTGTATATTAGCATTATGGAAGATCAGCAGGTATTGGGTGAAAAGGTCATCATCAATAGGACAGTTCCATTTAACAATAAACATAGCTCCAGAGAAGCATCATTTTAAAAGTATACACAGCACTCACTTAGTGTTTAATTATATTCACAGTATTCGTTAATTTTTCTAAAATGTATAAAACTAATTATTTTTCAAAACCAGGTTTCAGATAACTTTCTTCTTATTCATAGGTTGAAGTAATCAGCCAATATGGTAGAAAGAAGAATGAATGAAAACCAGAAGCCCCGGACTCTTGTTCTAGGCAACATGGCTCATGTGATTACAGGCAAAGACTTGACAGCTGTCTCCTTCCAAATCTGGCTCTACCACTTGCTATCTGTGTGACAGTGGCCCTGTTACTCAGCTTCATTATGCCTCAGTTTCCTCATGTGTTAAATAGGGATAGTAATAGTTTCACCTACCTTATAGATTGTTTATTAGGATCAAATTAACATTCATAAAGCAGACAGAAAAATATTTAGTACAAAGTAAGTGTTTGATAAGTGTTTGTCAATGAAGCAAGCTATGCAAGTGTAGACAAGTTACTTAACTTGTCTGGGCCTAGATCACATTCTTTATAATATGAAGAGATTGCACAGCCTCCAATCTGCTGAATTTAAATCCTGATGAGTCAAAAATCTGAAACTATTGAATATCTTTCTCTGAATAACTAGGCAAATTTTGCATCCAACATATGTGGATGTCAAGTCACCTCTGGGGAATAATTAGAGGAGGAAACGGTGTAATGTAATGAGAAAAGAGAGGTAAAGCAAAAGAAAAGAGTTGAGTTGTTGGAAATTAAATATTGGGAGACTGGATTGTGAGATTGTTGTGCTTTGAAGCTTGAACTTTAGGGGCAGTTTGGCCTTGGTCAAATCCAGCTTCTAACCTGTATGACCACTGACAGATTCCTTAACATCTCTGAGTCTCGCAATCCCCATGTCTATTATGGTACAACAGCAGTCCTTACTTCACAAGTAGTTGCTAATGAGAATATGCATATAAAGCATAAGGCTTGGCACTAGTAAGAATGTAATAACTCATTTGGGTGGTGACTAAAATCATGATGATCATGATGTCTGTAAGAAAATTTAGCAATTTTCTAACTAGTCTCCTATCAATTCACAAATTGTTATAAATATAAAAGTTATATTAAGGGTGAGAGGAGAGGCTTAGCTCCACTTAATTCCTATTTCAATTGTCAAGTTTACCACATTTAAGTTATGCAAATATAACATGAAAGTAAAAAAAATAACATGTTATCACGATTTATCTCTTTCATTTAAAAATATTTTATTTAAATATCCACAATTTTAAAGTTTTCAAATGGAATTTTTAAAATAACCAATAAGGTAATCAGTGATTTTGTTTTAAGTTAAAGAGAAACAGAGTGTTATGAATCACTTGAGGATGTGTGATTGCACAGTGATAGGAATCGAGTGCAAGTCATCTGTCCTTCAGATGTGAAGATGCTTCTGCTAGGTGTTATTATCAATGTGATTGGTGCAGCTCAAATAAATAGAATTACTAACAATTTTGCATGCTGAAGAGATTTTAGTAGGCCAAATAAATTGTTTAACTATTTTCAAGGCTATCCATAAACATTATATTAAATCCATAATAATGTCTTCAGTGGGCCGGGCGCGGTGGCTCACACCTGTAATCCCAGCACTTTGGGAGGCCGAGGTGGGCGGATCATGAGCTCAGGAGATCGAGACCATCCTGGCTAACATGGTGAAACCCCGTCTCTACTAAAAATACAAAAATTAGCCAGGTGTGGTGGCGGGTGCCTGTAGTCCCAGCTACTCGGGAAGCTGAGGCAGGAGAATGGCATGAACCTGGGAGGCAGAGCTTGCAGTGAGCCGAGACCGCGCCACTGCACTCCAGCCTGGGCGACAGAGTGAGACTCTGTCTTAAAAAAAAAAAAAAAAAAAAAAAAAAGAATGCCTTAGTGGAAAAAATTATGCTAAAAGCTAATTTTATGTATTTATTTGTAATGCTTATGAAAGTTCTAATATTGTTTTCTATTTGGATTTAACTATATTACTGTTTTGGTAAAGTATGGTAAATGCTATTATAAAATTAAATAATGTACAAAAGAAGATAAAAATTATTCCAAAACCTGACATGCAGAATAATCTGTTGACACTTTGGGAAATAATGTTCTCTCTCTCTCCAAACATATAGGCACATATGAATTATGTGTGTATGGTTTTACATTAATTATATCATGCCAAATGGTATTCTTTAACATGCTTTTCTCTCGAAAATATCTTATGGTCCTTTTTCTTGTCACCAATAAATATGAATCTGTACCATCATTTTCTTTGCAATATTATAGTCACTAATACACATCAGCCACATTTACTTAAGTCCATCAATAATGAGCACTTAAAACATTCTTATGTAATCATTTTGTGGAACATAATTACCTTCTTTCTCTGGTAATCCTTCAGGCCAATTAAAAAGTATTTAAAGAAAATATTTTTAAAAAAATAAAGATTCATTCATAGCAGCAATTTAAACATTTAACATGTTATATATTCACTTAACATATATTTTAAAAATATTTTTATTCTCCAAAATATATTCATAAAGAAATGTCTAGATCCTATAATAAGAAAACTATAAAACTCCACTACAGGACAAAAACAATTCTTGAATAAATGTAAAGGTAAACTTTGTCTCAGACATGAAGATTCAATGTTGTTATAAAGTCAGTTCTCCCTAAATCAACCCATAAATTTAGTATGATCCCATTTTAAATCCTAGAGGACATTTTGGTGATTTGATATGTTATCTAAATAATAAAGATGCCAGAATATTGAGAATATTTAAGACAATTCATAGGCCAGGCGCAGTGGCTCACACCTGTAATCACAGCACTTTGGGAGGCTGAGGTGAGCGGATTACCTGAGATCAGAAGTTCGAGACCAGCTGGCCAACATGGTGAAACCCTGTCTCTACTAAAAAAAAAAAGAAAAATATAAAAAATTAGCCAGGCGTGATTGTGGGCACCTGTAATCCCAGCTACTCGGTAGGCTGAGGCAGGAGAATTGCTTGAACCCGGGAGGCGGAGGTTACAGTGAGCCTATATCTCGCCATTGCACTCCAGCCTGGGCAACAAGAGTGAAACCCCATCTCAAAAAAAAAAAAAAAAAAAAAGGAGGAGGAGGAACAGAAGTAGGATGAGGACAGGAAGACAGGAGGAGAAGAAAAAGCACAAGAACAAGAAAGAAAAAGCACAAGAACAAGAAAGAGAAGGAGGAGGAAAATGTTTTATAAGTTATTGGAATGCATTGTATAGTTATCATGATTAAAACCATGTGTCATGTGGTACTGGTGTAAGATTATGTGGTAAGATCAATGAAAGAGAATACACATTCCAGGAAGTACATAAGTGATTTATTGTACAACAAAAGTGTCCATTCAAATCAAATCGGAACTATTCAATGGATAGGGAAAGTTGTAATTGTTTATAAAAAAATTAAATTAAGGTAGATACCAACCTCACGCCATACACTGTAACACATTTCAGATAAATCAAATATTTGAATTTCTAGAATAAACCTACAAGTTATTAAAAGAAAAGTATGATGAGCTATTACATAATTTTTAAATAGGAGACATCTTTTAAACATGTTACAACAGATGGAAATCATAAAAGGAATGAACGTATCTGTTTGACCGTGTAAAATTTAAATTTTCTGTATGACTTTTTTTAAAAACTAGCATTTATAATGTTGAAAGTCAAACCACAAACTGATATCATTTGGACAGCATTTGTTCCTTTGAAAGAAGGCGTTTACCTAATACCATTGCCAAAAAGTTGTTCTATAGAGCCTCAAAAATCTCAATACAGGTGCGTCCTTGACCCCACACCAACTGTATCTGGTATTTTTTAAGACTGCTTGGTTTCTTCAGTTCTTCAAAATAAGCCATCACCTGTTGCCTACTGTTAATGAATTGTGTTTTAACAAGTATATAACAATGTAAACTTATTTGATATAGTCTTATTTTATCATTTCAGTAAACCTAACGTCTGTCGCTGACATTCTAAAAAGGTATCTCTTTAGTCTCTTAAGAAATATTGAGAAACGGTTTCTGTTTTACCTGAGATAAGCTTCCTTAAAGGTACAAGGGTCCCTGCTGTAGTTATCACTAACCAATACACAGTTTCAGCACAAAACACTTCCTGGACTGCCTCAACTCTAAGATAGAACACGTAATAGAAGAGAAAATAGAATAGCCTAAAATAATTGCTTTCTATATTCTGTTCCCCCATCACTGACAGAAAAAAAGCATGTCAATAACTTACATGAATATTTTCTATATTTTAAAGTTTGAGTTAATGCATGCAGATCATTTGAAACAGTGCTAGCACCCTACAAGCATCCAATAAATGTGAGTTGTTAATATCATCATTAGTCATTATTATTTATCCAAATCAAGACAGAGGCACCATAGAGGCAAGAAACTATTACCTATGCCCTATCAAATAAATAGTGTATGTGTATCCATCAGATATTGGCACTGAAGTGAGGAAACAGATAATGGCTCTGAGCTGCAGGTGCCAGGTGACAATTAATGGTATCTCACCAGTAATGTCATGGCACTGTGCAAAGGATTTGGGGTGGGGGTGTCCACGGATGTTCTTACCAAAGCATGTTTAAATTGTTCTCTCATGTCATAGTGCATTGCTAGTCATAACCAAGGGAGAATACAAGGGAGAGAACAGGGGTGCTCCAGTTGTAGAAACAATGGGGCCCAGTAACTGATAAGGCAGGCAACTAGCAATTTTAGGGCAACCAAGAAGGATGCTATTCAGAGAGAACTTTGTGCAAGTGAAACAGGGGTCAGTTATCCAGGGCAGAGGGTGTGAGGCAAGAGCCATCTTGGGCTTTCCAAAGAGACCCCAGGCTAGACCAAAACAAAAACTAACTCCCTTACCATGTTAATATAGGTTTAAAGGTCCTCATCTGTTCTTTATGGTAGAGGGACTGGAAATGAATATTAGAACCTACTGTATTTCCTTTAGTGTATGTTATATATTCAGTAAAACTTGGATGTTTTTCAGAATGTGGTTTCAGCCTGTCTCAACAGATGAAAACACCCTGGTCTTTTTCAAAAATCCCTAAATTAAAAAACAAATACAAATCAAAACTCTGGTACCCTGAATGGACAAAACCAAAAACAAGGACATATTTCCAAATGATAAGTTAACAAATTTACTGCAACCTGGGTATGCTAATATTGGATAAGGATCTCTCAATGTAAGGCATCTGGAAATTCCTGATGACTTAATAGATCTGTCTGGTTTTGGTCATACATTTGCTTCAAACTGTTCTTCTGTACCACAGATAAAGGAAGTTTCCAGACACAATATTTAATTAGTACCTAATTAAGAGCATCAACACGATAAGTGATGCAGGTTCTGGCCCCACTGTTTGTACCTGGATAAGGGTAAACAGTTCTAGTGAATCTTGGCTGTCTGACAGTTCTCAGCTGTCACTGGCACTACATAACCCAGGGAAGGTGCTGACGCTCCCTGGCAAGTGTACACTAGTAAACATTCAAAGCAGTTGGAGAAATCCAATCACACCAAGTAAACCACCAAAAAGAAAATATGGGAGTCTGGATCCAGCAACATATTCTTACATATGTGCTTCATATTCAGCCTAAGTCATTATTCCAGTCATCCGAAAGAGTTAATCAGTGCCTTTCCACGTGTAACTGAGGCATCAACTATTCCAAGGGTATCTTTAAGAATATCTTCACCCAAATACAATCAGTACAACTGCCAAAAACCAAATGCTATGTTCAACTGATGCAAGTAGAATTCTTGATGAACTGCAATTATCAAATTGGCTTGCCTCTGGGGAGCAACCTGCCTTATGCCAAGCCGCCAAGGGAATAACATCACTATGACACCTTGAAATATCTGGGATTATTAATTTTTTTTACCACTAACCAACTTTTTTAAAAAGGAAAACTGTGTGACTAAACTTCTTGTACTTTCTTACAAACTAACAAATTGTGTGCCCTTAGACCGGCCATCTAACCTTTCTGGACCTCAGTTTCTTCACCTATAAAATAAGAGAATCAGCCCGAGTGCTTTCTATAAGCTCTTTCAGTTCTAAAATATGATTTGGTGCTATGTATTTATATAGCTTATTCTTTCTGCAGATTTCAAAATCTCTCAAGAGACTCTCATTAGTATTCTTAATATTGCCTTGAGGAAGGCAAGTGGCAAGGTTTATTATCCCCATTTTTTAAAAAAGAGACGATGAGACATTTTGCTGACACAGCACTCTTGACCAAGTAAGGACTAGAAGTTAGGTGTCCTGATACTAATCAAGAACTCTGTTAAGCCACTTTGCTACTAAACTAGATGGAAAGTCTCTGATGAATAAAATATTCTGTGCTCATGGAAGGAAAATATAGTTTGATCATCTTACAGAGACATAATGGTTTAAAACAATGATTTCCAAACTGTAGCCCATATAATATTCCAGGTAGTTCTCTCAGGTCTCATTGACATGTCCCTATACATATTTTCTCTTTTCTGACACAAGTATCAATATATGAATCTACTAACATGGGAGAGTGTTAAAGAACATCTTCAAAAAAAGTAAGAAGAGTGTCTGAGGTAATAATAATTAAATTTCCAATAGAATATTTGCAGAAAATAAACCATATAGTCCATATTAATATATTGAAGTGTTAACTGAAAATCATACATATCAATGAAATGAGATTATCATCCAATAAATAATTCAAACCCTTTTTAATAATAGTATGTCTTTATTAAGAACTATGAAGAGTCTAAGATTTTACCATATTTGCACGCTAGCAAGTTAGCCTGCCATCATTTCATAGGTGCTGGCAGAAGACATGATACCCCTAGGTCAGAGACAAAGGATGTTACTACTATCAGTAACAGAAATAGCCAGAATATCATTATTTTTGCTTTGGTTTCCCAAATTACAGTCCCCATAGGGCAATGCAAAGAGGGACAGGTGACCCTGCACGTGCATAATATTGTATTAGAAGAGAGAAAATCTCAGCTCAGGAATCCTAAATCATTTATTGTAATAAACAGTAAGCATGTCTTCCCTTTTCTCCAGGAGGTGATACTATCTCTAACTCCTAAAGCTGTTCACCTATACAAACACGCCTGAAAAGATAATCCAAAACAAAATCAGTCAATGCTTCTGTCTGCAAAGAGTGCAGAAATACAAAAGACTCATGGAGAAAATCTCCTAACAATATTGTCTGATTTCATTGCACTATCTGTATATCTGTTAATTCTGAGAATTCTTAAGTACTCAACATAAATAATGTAAACAATATTGAGGAAGAACAGGATATCCCCCTCCCCTCCCCACCCCATACTCCTACTGGATGTCTCCTTGGTTCTGCTCCATCCCGATAGTTCAAAAAATTCAAAGCCAATAAGTAACTTCTTTGGTTCACACCTTTCTGCCTTACTTTCATTCATTTCCACTTATTAAAGTGGAAGCCACCTGTATGGTGGGTAAGCATGCACTCTAGAGTCAGGTGTAGCAGATAAATCCTGGAAATGCTGCCCACTATCTGTAGTGCTTTGGCTTGGTTATTGAAGTCCTATGTGTCTCAGCTTTCTCATCTGTAAAAGGAGGGTGATAACACCTACTTCTTAAAGTTTGGGAGAAGATTAAAACAGTTCTTATATAGGAAGCTCATAAAACAGTGCCTGGCACATACACATTTGATGAAACTTTTGTTGATCAGTAAACTTTTTTTAGGTTAGCTAGGAAAGCTTATTCATCAGCAAACAACTTACCAAATTGCCAAAGTTAATGATATGTTATTAAATCATTGACAACATTAGGGGAAACGTGGATAATGAACAGCGCACTTTTTTAGAATCTACATATCATTCCTAGTTTGTTCTTATGAACTGAGTGAGAAAGAAGGGAAAAAATTTAATCTAACTCATATGTTATAAAGAAAATTATTTTAGAATAGTTTATTGTATTAGATATATCTCTTTAATTAATAAATAAGCACTTTCTTCAGTGTTTGAGATTTAAAACTGCTAATTTTGTTTCTTAAAAGATTGTGAGATTATGATGCATAAGCTGTGAGCTTCACCTCTGTACAGAAAAAGTCTGGTTTTGTGGAAATATAAATTATTATTTTAAGTGGAAATGTGAAGGCCTTAAATGTGGTACAATGAAGAGTTTTTATTTTTATATGAAGAAATATAAAACAAGAAGTAAATAAATGGCAATGACATTTTGAAAATGACATTTCAGAATATTTAAAGGACCACAAGAACAATAAGTACATCTTGTGTGCAACTGTCTTTGAAGTTCTAATCTCAGTTCATGCCACTAAATCATCAAGGAAGATTATTTTTAACTTGTTATATAAAGGCTTTAGAAAAAAAATCAAGAAGTGCTCTCTGAGTATGAAATGTCAAACAGAAAGAAGTATTTGTACATTCTGAGTGTACTAAGGTGATATATGTGTGGATCATGGAGAATTAATTTATCCCAAATTTTCCAAAAGAGTAAGAAAAGATTTACAGAATGGGAATGACACATTTTCCTAAACATTTTCTTTGAGATGCTTTGTAAGTGGAATACTTGCGTGTGGCTAAACCACAGTACAGATTTAACTAATCAACAAAATATTGTCACTGATATTGAACCTGATAAGAGGCCCCTCTGAGAAGAACACCAGCATCCCTATAGTCCCAGAGAAGAGCTTTAACACCAGACAGAGGAAGGACTCTGCAATCCCTCTGCAACCCCAATCAATTTGCTCCTTTCCATAAGTCTTTTTCCTCTCTCCCTTCTCTCCCACCTTTCTCTCATTTTCCTCTTGCCACCTCTCTCAAGAACACACACACATCTCTATGTTCTTACCTCTCTTAATCTAATCTATCTCTTTGCCTACAATTAAAATTTTCAGGGTGTCTTCCTTTCACCTAAAATAAATAATGACATGTATAATAAGTACTTTCTCCACATACTGAATTTCATCAAATTATTGGTCAACATTTTGACTGTAAACATTTCCATACTTTGGGTCAGTGTGAGATCCTGCATTCATCATCTTTCTTCCAAGAGAGTGAATTGCTCTTTCAGTAGTACACTGTCTACCTTTCTTTAATCATGTCTTGAAATTTTTATTTTTATAATGGGAAACATAAATGGTGCCATCTCTGCAGTTAGGGAGAAAATGGAAAGATCCAAATTTCTCTCACACTTTAATGTGTGTGAGCCATGATCTACTTGTTAAAATTCTTGGATTGCTAATAAAAGTCATAATATACCAAATGGTGGTAATTTGGATGAAACAAGCATATCAATCATTGAGGAATGGGCTCATGGCTCTTTATCTGGGCAGAATCATTAAGTAGAATTTATGATATATAATGTATACTATTAAGCAGCTTCCATTAAACTTGCCTGCCAAACTCATTCTATGTAGACAGTTCTAAAAGCAAGCTGTATGCAAGAGCGCCACCTATAGTAAAACTTCCACATTTATTTTACAATGTTAAAACCCAGAAAATTAGATTTTGAAACAGAAAATTTTAAAGGCAAGAATAATATCCAAGAAATGAGATTTATGGTTTAATGTATAAATTAAAAACCACCTCAAAAAAGAAATGGTAAAAAGTTTATTTCAATAAAAATATGAACATTATAAGACATGACTTTTTCTGTTTAAGGAAGAAATTGCTCTGATTTTCCAGATAATTTAAACGACAGGAATAATCTTTCTTCTAATTTAAATAAATAATAGTTCAAACAAAATTTTTACTACTTTTTAAATGTTCTCTATTTTACTTTTTAACTTGCTTTTCACAAACTGCTTTTTTTGAAACCTGAAAACAATAGCTATTTAAAGCACAAGTAAACTTCTTTCTGATGTTTAATTTTTCAGAAAATACATACCTCAAGTACTTTACTTCAGCATATATGTAAGAAAATGCTAAGGAAATGGTGACTAGAAGTACCGCTGGAGAAATGTCCTTTAGGAGTTGATATCCACAGAAATTTAATCTTAAATACTTGTTACTTTGACCTAAAAGCTAATTATGAGGGAGTTGAGCCAAAAAGTGAGATGAATAAAAAGAAATTTCATTGGTATTACAGAGATAGTTGCCAGAAACAGCTTACAAATCATGAATCTATGCAGAGATGAAAAGTTGAGTCTAAATTATTATTCGACTGGGTCCTTAAATCAATGGAGAGCAAAAAATGATTACAGTGGACCTTTAATTTTCAACTATAAAAAGTCAACATGGTGGCATGTCCAACAGTGTTTTACTGCAGGTCATTGAGCGAGAGAGAGAACTCTTTGCTTTTTCATCTCTAAAAAGAGTATGGTTTTTTGCTGTTGTTTAAAAAAAACACATAAGCTAAAATAAATCGTTGCTGCAGATCACATAGGAAGCTGCTCAGCTCTCTGACCAAGTTTGGTTTGGCAGGAAGCAAACCACGAGGGGACGATGCCCTGCAGGTCCCCCTCGTTATCTCACACTTGGGCCTTTTGGCTTTTTGTGGGCCCATTGTTCATTTTGGTGAGGCTAGATTTTAAGTAGATTCAGGGCTCATCAAGCAAGGTGCCAAACAGAGAACACTACAAACTGATGTCCTGTGTTTGCAGAGCTGAAGGAGCTGGGACAGCAGCCACCTTCCCACCATGCACTGTGACAGTGCTTCATCCTTGCCCTGGGAGGCCGCTTCCCAGGATGAGAGGATAATTCTCTCACTACAGCCCATTCAATCTTCAGCCTCTCGGCTGATGCTGCCAACAGAAGTGCCAATTAATGCCAATTACAATGGTGACTTTTCTGATATGGGCACCTACTCATATAGGCCATCAAACAGCCATCATATATTAATGACTGTCAGTCATTACCAATATGGGCGAAGTTTGAACTAGTGACCTAGAGGAGAACTGCTCTTTATCCTACTTCCAACTCCCTGAACCGTCCAATTCCCCTCCCCATTTCTTGGCCAATGTTCTTAATTATAGTTTTGTACCTGAATAATGAATGTGCTACATTTTGACAGTGACAATTGCTGAAACTGTGACAGCAGAAATGCAGCTACTGTCTGCCATTTAGCTAACCCTGTCACAGCCTTCAGGCCAGCGAGGTCCAGCTCACACCTTCAGGGGGCACTACATGTCCTTTGTCATTTAATCGAATGCATTTTTTATTTGTCTTTACTACTCCTTAGAAATAAGGAGAGCATTTTTATGCAGATAAATGTGTCATGAACTTCCATGCAGATGCTGCCATTAGTCCTTTCTTATCTGCTCATTATTTCGTATAGCCTTATGAGACAGAAACTCCCCGTACAATTAAATATGCTGCAAATTAATCTTGAAGTGCACCTTTCCGTTTCAAAAAGGAAAAGCAAGTTAAACACAATAAACATCCTAAATGATAGAAAAGTGTCCAGTTCCTTTTGTAAACACATCCCTTAACCTTTCTTTTCTTTAATCTCCTTTTAATCCAACCTGGGGTGCAAACCCCTAAATGACCCATTGCTGTCTGCTGTCTGATGTGGGTGTTATCATGTTTTCAGAGACTCTGAGACTCACCTCATTTAATTCTCAGCACTGCAGCCCGCAGCAGTCAGGGCATCTATTTCATGTCTGCATTACTCCTAGATTTGGGGGGAAACATTTAGGAGAAAGAAAATGTTACTAAGCCCCTCACTCTAACTTCCAAGGAGCCAGAATGAAGACCCAGCAGTTGCCCACATACCTCTCACATCAGAAGGGCAAAAGAAGTAACCAAATGTAAAATATATCGTGTTTCCAACTCCTTACGCTTTCTCTGAAAGTAGCACCAAAAGAAAATTTGTGGGAAAATATTCTAAGATTATACTTAACTACTTTACATCCATCATATGTTTTTTTTAAATAGTAATTCCTTTTAAAATATTTAATTCCAACACATCCATTTGGAGGTAAAGGTTAAGTAATCTGCCCTGTTCACCTAGTGAGGCAGTGGCAAAATTAAGATTAAAACTCAAACCCAAGGGCTTTAACTCTTTTCTGAGGCTGTTTATGTTTGCAATCCCAGCAAGCTCTTCTGGGTGCTACACATACATAATTCCATGCAATTGACAACCTGAAAAGAAAATATAATCAGCATCGTTCCGCAAAGAAGGAAAGGTAAGACCCAGGGTGATAAGGAAACTGCCCAAGAGACCACAGTGTTTAAGCGGCAGAACAAGGATTGGAATCCAGGCATGGCTGTCTCCAAAGAACATTATTCGACATATCACGTGACTCTGAGTCCTAGGGCGATTTATTTGAGAAGCAGCTCAAGGTTCCTTAGGCCAATTCAAATCACTGTACAAAATCCTCAGGCAGCCTCTGAATCTTTGAGATGTCAAGTCACTCCAGGTTACCCTAAAGTAAATCAGGACAGCAGCATCCAATACTAACCAGAGTGATGTGGTTGGGCTGTGTCTCCTCCCAAGTCTCATCTTGAATTGTAGTTCCCATAATTCCCACGTGTCATGGGAGGCACCTAGTGGGAGATAATTGAATCATGGGGGCAGTTTCCCCCACACTGTTCTTGTGGTAGTGAATAAGTCTCATGAAATCTGGTTGTTTTATAAGGGGTTTCCCCTTTCGCTTAGCTCTCATTCTCTCTTGCCTGCGGCTATGTAAGACACGCCTTTCGCCTTCCGCCATGATTGTGAGACCACCCCAGCCACATGAAATTGTGAGTCCATTAAACCTCTTTTTTTATATATATATATAAATTACCCAGTTTTGGGTATGTCTTTATCAGCAGCATTAAAACGAACTAATACATACAGGTAGCAGAAAACACTCTGGTTTCCATTTTTGCTCGGTGATGCTGATGCCATGTTGTGTTTTCCTTTAACACTCCAAGAACATAAATCCAAAAGGGCACCATCTAATAAGACTTTAACTAAAATACACTCATATTATCACTATTATTAGTGACAATTCACTACTGTCTACTGAGAGCTTTCCATACATTATATGCTATTAATTCTCACAAAGTGTATTATTATCCTGTTTGATGGATGGGTAAACTGAGACTCAGCCAAATTCAGCAAGTTGGCCAAATACACTAAACTCAAGTGAGGAGCTGGGCCCAGGATTCTCAGACTCCAAAGCTCTTTTTCACTGCACTGCTTCCCAACAAGATTTTTGTTCACATAGCTTTCTGTGTTTATTTATTTTGGGGGAGAAGGGACAGAAGAAAGTCCCAGGAGGGTATTTCTAAATAGGCTAAGGAATCTGTCTTCAGCTCAGCAGAATAACAGGTGGAAAAGTATACGGAAAAATATTTTTGAAAGTATTAACCGCGGGAGAAAAATATCAAAAATATCCTAAGATGACTCTTTTATTTTGGCAGCTTATTTTAAATGACAAAGACATTTCCAACCTTGAGAGAAGATTGGGTTAAAAAAATACCAGTATACACACAGTAAACAGACTACAGAGGTCTAGAAAAATAAATAAATACGAGCAATCTCTGTCCAACCTCACCCTGCTTCTTAAAATAGTAACTCCATCAGCTTGCCTGCAAGATAGAAGAAACTTCCTCAAAGACAAGTCATTGGTTTCTGAAAACCATGTGTTGAGCGGTCCCTTGTACCATGCGGAACAAGCCCAGACACAGCATTTCCTGTAGGTAAAACATATTAAGACTCGAGAGTCCCTCCAAGTACTGCATAAATATATATATATATGAAATATTATAAATCATCCTGGAGATAATTTTTTCCTTAACACTAAAATGCTAATCCTTGATGAGGCAGATCTTCAAAGGGCACAGCATCATAGCACTATGAGACCATTCTGGACCAAATACAAAGAAATTAGTGTGGAAGATAAGCAATTTTAAGGTCACAGTAAGGAAACATCTAAGAGTCCAGGGATCATAAATAGTACAGGGGTGGAAATGCAAAGTCATGAAAGATGAAAGGAAATAATAAAATGTTTGTGATTTCAGGAAATTTGGCTTTGAAGAAATGTGCCACACCCTAAGGAATTCACTAATACAAAATCCACTGCTGAAAAGCAGGCATTACTTGTTGGTACAACTGAAACCAAACAGCTTCTGACTTTGTGGGACACAATTTCAACAGTTTTCTGACATCTTCTCTTTAGAAATGACTAAAGATAGCTTTTAAAAGAACAAAAGTTTTATTTTTATTTTTGTTTTCTTTTTTTTTTTTAGCAACAATCTTGCTCTGTCACCCAGGCTGGTGCGCAGTGGCATGATCACAGCTCACTGCAACCTCAGCCTCCTGGGCTCAAGTGATCCTCCGGTCTTAGCCTCCCAAGTAGCTAGGACTACTTGGCCTGGCTAATTTTTTATAGAGACACAGTCTTACTATAACAACAAAATTTTAATGTTTCACTCTTGAAGCCAGACAAGAAAATAAATAAGGATGGGGATTTTTTTTAAAGAACATCATGAAAAGATGGGAACATTGAGAATGAAAAAGAAGACTTAGGTGCCAAACAAACTAGTTTAAATTTAAGAGAAAAATTAAAATGTAAAGACTTAGCTGTGTACATGAGTCTTCTCTGTTCCCACTCGTAGGAAAACTAGCAATTCCTCATCTTTTAAGACCTTCCCCTAATTACAAATCTTATCTCAAAGCGTTTTTTCTCATTAGCCTACATTTTTCTTTCTAAATTTGACTGTATTTTCCTTTCTCTGGCTACATTTGGAATGCTACTATTTCAACTTTAAACAGTTTGTATGCAAGATGTTGTTTTATGTAAAGAAGGAAAAAGATTGACAAATCTAAACCAAACAGGGAAGAATTATAAATATTTTGCTTCACTATTGCAGCTTTCTCCATATGCCTCAAATGAACATTTCTAATCAAGCTCCACTTCTGCAGAAAGCTTACCAACAAAATACATCTTTATTTGTATGTAACATGTATAAATGTAATTAGCTTTTTTAAAAGAAACAATTGAAATACGATGTTTATGGAAAGAAACTGATGTGTTTTTTTTTCAAATGAAATCTGAAACTGCACAGGATATTGACAGACTGATGGCTGGGTCTGTTGCCAGAAGCTGGTTAGGAAGCTGGTATGAAGGTCACTAATTTCATTCTGTTTTATTTCAATGGGACCTTGAAACAAAGAACAGTTTTAAATAGACAGTGAGGAGGGATGGATTATTAAACTAGTGCTTTACCATCAGTTTTGTGTGATTTTTAAAAATAGAAGACAGTATTTTACCAAAACATATGTTCTAAATTTTATCATAAAAGTAAAATGGCTGAGAACAAGATAAGGAAATAACATTTGTAGCAGTGACTGATTTTTATTTTTGCAATGTTTCTTGCATTTTCCTTTCTATTTCCCAAAACGATTATAATTTGTAGCAAATCAGCTAATGTTTTTTGACCTGAATGTCTGGGTTGTGTAGAGGGTACTCTTTGGGAAACTTCTGTACTTTCTCCACTTACTTCAATAGCCTCTCTCAGACACAGACACTGTCTTTTGTTTTGTCAGCTTCATTTTTCTCATTAATTAACAATGGAATCACACTAAGGCAATCCATTTCTCCACAACGGTTACTGAGAAGTGATTTTTTAATAAGATTAACTTGTTTAGAGAAGGGAAAGAGTATTATATGTGGTATAATATAACACAAAATATTTGTATTGTTTTTGTCTTTTATTAGAGTAAATAACTCTGAGTAAACTCATAAATGATCTGAGTTGTGTGATATGCATGAAATTACTACACACAGTAGAATTATAGTTTAAAGAGATGTCATTAAAATCTAAATACACAACCTTAGAACTTGTACTTAGTTTTTCTAAAAAAGTAAAATTGCTTTTTTCAAAATTAGAATTTATTTTAAAATATACATTATCCTGCTGATACACACACACACACACAAACACACACACACACACACGCACACACACAGGTGGACTGAGAGGATAAATCTAGTAAATAGCACAAAAGGAAATTAACTGAAAAATAAATTAGTCAAAAAAATCAAAAGAAGTCCTAAAGTGCTCTAGTGAATAAACACAAATCCAAATGATAAATCAAGAAAGAGGCATAAATATCAAATAGGACCTCCAAAGCCCCAATAGTCTCAAGTTGCCATAGGTTCTCTGTTACCTGAGTTACCACCAGGCCTGGGCAGTGTCAAGAACCCTCTTATAATACCAGGGCCAAACCCAACCTTTCAGAAACAGTATGGCCAGCTCAGGCTCTAAAAATACAATCCACTGAGGGCCTGTCTTCCCCAGAAGAGAGAAGAGAGTGCCTATGTTCCCTCTTCGTCTACAAAACTCTTCTCCATTAAACAACTACTTTCAAAACCACCAGTTGGAGGACAGCATTACCTGGTCCTGTGGACTGAATGTTTGTCCTCCCAAAATTCATATGTTGAAACCCCAATCCCCATCGTCAAGGTATTTCGAGGCAGGGTCTTCAGTAGGTAATTAGGTAACAAGGGTAATCCCTCATGATGGGAGTGGTGCTCTTTATTGTTTATTTTTCTTTTTTTGAGATGGAGTCTCACTCTGTTGCCCAGGTTGGAGTGCAGTGGTGCAATCTCGGCTCACTGCAACCTCCACTTCCCAGGTTCAAGTGATTCTCCTGCCTCAGCCTCCTGAGTAGCTGGGATTACAGGTGCATACCACCACACCCAGCTGATTTTTGTATTTTTAGTAGACATGGGGTTTCACCATGTTGGCCAGGCTGGTCTCAAACTCCTGACCTCAGGTGATCCACCCACCCAGGCCTCCCAAAGGGCTGGGATTATAGGCATGAGCCACTGCACCCAGCCTTAAAAGTGCTCTTAAAAGATAACTTCTGCATGCTCTCTCTCTCTCTCTGTCACCCTCTCTCTATTTTTTTCTCTGCCATGTGAGGCACAGCAAGAAGAGAGCTGTCTATAAGCCAGGAAGGTAGTCCTCAGCAAAACCCAACCATGCTGGCACTCTGATCTCGGTTCCATCCTCCAGAACTGTGAGAAATAAATGTTAGTTGCCTATGGCACTCAGTTGATAATATTCTTGTTACAGCACCCTAAACTAAGATATTTGGTTTGACACACCAGTGATGGGTTAATTTTTCACTTACCTATAGTATCCCTCACTAACAGCACTTTTTCAAATATTAGCTAAAAACTCCCTCCTTGCAGCTGCCAGACCTATGGGACATCTGGTGTTCATGGGACTGAAGGCTGAGAATCAGTTTCCCTTGTCCCTCACTAGGCTTAAGGCTGGGCTTGCTCCATGTTGTCCCAAGACTGCAACTGCAATTGCTGTACCTTGTAGCAATTCCTCTGACTTAACTCTGCCTTCCTGCTGTGTAGCTAGCAGAACTGAACAGTTCCTGGCACGACTCTTGCCACATAAGAGGGCTGGGTACATCTCTGTAGTGTTTGCTTTTTATGCCGATCCCACTAAAATCTTACATTTTCACAGCTCTTTCTTTGTCCCCTCTTCTAGTGACTCACTTCACAATGCCAGGATTTTTACTAGCCCAGATGGGGCAGGGGCTTGCGGGGGGTGTTTCACTGCCTTGGAGGCAGCAGCAGAGAGAATAGCTCAGAAAGTCCTGCATGTGCAAGTTCTACCATCTTACTTCTTCTGGCTCTTAAACTTGTAAGGTACAATACTTACCAGCCTACTTTAAATAAGGACAAGCATCTATAATGCCAGCACTTTGGGAGGCCGAGGCAGGCAGATTGCTGCTTGAGCCCAGGAGTTTGAGACCAGCCTGGGCAACATAGCAAAACCCCATCTCTACCACAAAATACAAAAAAGTACCCAGGTGTGGTGATGCACACCTGTAGTCCCAGCTACTAGGAAGGCTGAGGTAGGAGAATCACCTGAGCGTGAGAGGTCAAGGCTACAGTGAGCCATGATCGCACCACTGTGCTTCAGCCTGGGTGACAGAATGAGACCCTGTCTCAAAAAATAATAATAAATAAATAAATAAGGCTATCTTTCCCATGATATCTGTGGAGTACCAGGTCCACTAGGCTTTCTCCTGCAGGCCCCTAAGCTTTTCTTGCTCCTGAAATACATTTTTATGTGATCCCCAGAGCACCCCATCACCAACTTCCCTGCTTACCTAATCTAAGATAGCAGGCACATTTTGTAGGCCTCATAGCTCTGGGGTACCCAAAATAATTTATCTTCTCATCTTCTTCTGGTACCCACTTAGTTATCAGATTGCATGTTTTTACATAGGTATTTTAATCAATTAATTGTCCAAAATGTCCTTGCTGACAAAAAGAAAATGTCCCTACCATAGGGGAAAAATTCATTAAAAATTTTAAAGGACCGCAGTGCTTTTATAACACGGTTATATAACAGCTTATAAGCTCTTTGGAAATTTACACACACACACACACACACACACACACACACACAGAGAGAGAGAGAGAGAGAACCATAACAATGCCAGTGACTAGAATCTATAATCAGCATTGATAATCTCTTAAACTTTTTATTTGTTGTATATTAAATTCATGAAAGAATATTACAGTGGCACTGCATCTCATGATTTTAACATATGAGGCATTCGCTTACATATCTTGCTTTTCAGAATTTCTGATTAAATGTTTTAATTTAAATGGAACATAATATTTAATGTAATATCCAGCCGAAAGTGTCCCTGAAGCTTCAATTGCAAACAATCATAATAAAGAATGTTCTTGTTTAATCTACAAAATAAGTACATTTGATTTTAATTACTTGGATAATGACCAAGCAAGTACATCAGGCACATCCCTTCCAAGAGATAATGAAAGACACAGAGGAGCAAACAATATTCCTGCGAACAGACCATCACATTCTGACTCTGAGGATGACTCCACTAATGAAAATCTGTCTTTGCAAATGACTCATCTTCTGAAGACTGTTCTGAAGATGTTGGAAATCAGAATGATGCATGTGAAAATGAAATTAATCAATATGAAGATGGGGAACAGCAGTCTATCACAGAAGGGCTGTTTGATAATAATGAAATTGAGGAAACAGTCAGTGGTAGAGAAACAAATGAAAGCACAGGAAATGTCAATGATAATAATGAATAAGTAACTAATTCTTGAAATTCAAGAGGAAGAGTTAACAAACAAAGACAAATCATCATACAGACAAATGACAAAGATGTGAAACTACATTTGCTTTTAAGTTTATTCCAAGTTTCTAAGGATATTAAAACACTAATATGGTAGTAAATGTAATAGGAAGAGAGGTCTAAAATTTTCAGAACTTTGTATCAACTGGGAAGCTACAAGAGTGTCCAGTTTGGCTGAAGCAACAGAGTGTAAGAGGCAGCAGTGGGAGATAAGACTAGAAAGTTCTACTGGATTTCCAGGAGGCATTTGAAATGTCAGTATGAATCCTCTTCTTTAATTGCCCTTGCTTGTTTTTAGATTACATTTGTTCCAAACCCACAGTCCTACCCTAGTACACTTTAGCTTCTCACAACAGTATGAGAGTTCTCACTCTGTCTTCAGCTTCAGTTCTAAATGCAGTCTTTAAAATGTAGATTTTCAAAATCTCAATTGCATGGTGTTTATCAATTTCATTTCCCTCATAAGTTCTATTATTTGTAACACCAATGGAAAATTCACACAACCATGTAATGGTACCTGGAGAAGTTATAGTTTCCCTGCACATCTGAAAGGCAGATGCCTTTGGACTGTTTTGAATGCTGTCTACAAGATTCTTACATAGTGTATAAATAATCTGTTTTCTATGCCATAAATTCCCTTTTCTCACTACAAAATTCTCCACTTCAAAAGAATCACTTGAAACCAAGGCTGTTTAGCCTAGTAAGCTATGATTTAACTCAGCCATGCCCTCTAAATCTTAGGTACACTGACCAACAGTTCCTATTTGCTCATACTATCACAATTGCATATAGCACAGACTTTAGTTTTTTGTTCATTTCTTGTGTTTTTGTTTTTGTTCTCCAAACCTAACACATTACATTTGGATGTCATTTCTTCTTGTCCTATGACTTCTTTCCTCAGGCTAGACTTCACTCAACCTAAATCCCAGCATTTAACACGTAACAAGAGTAAAAAAGTGAAGGGAAATTACACTGGATCCCAATCAACGTAGGAATTGGGATGGAGAAGAGAGAAAAGCAGTAGATAACTACATTATTGTGTGCAAATATGACTTTAATTCAATTATTTTAATTCAATTTTTAAAAATACATTGGAGGAGACATTTAAATTAAGAACTGAAACACTGCAATTGGATTTGGCATTTAGATCATTTGTTAGATTTCCTAGGTCATTTCTGTGAAGTTGTAAAAGCATAAACCAGGTAGCAGTGTGTCCAAGCATGAATGAGAAGTGAAAGAGTAGGGACAGGAAGTACGGCCAGCTCTTTGAAGACATTTCAAGACACAGTAAAGAAGAGAGCTAAAACTGTGATTAGAAGATCAGGTGAGGACTTTCTGCAGAATGAGAAATCATTGAGAGCATATATAAGCTGATGAGAAGAAGCAAACAGATAAAGAAATATTAAAGATACAAGGGAATGGTGAACCAGATGATGGAACACTTCCTCTGTACCAGTACCTGAAAAGGGTACTGGCTATTTAAGATGAATAAGCACTTAGCTGCCTTTAAGAAACTGAGGGGCTAAGAGTCGAGAAAGATGACATCTGTCCAAGGTGTTACAAGAGCATAGAGGGCATTAGCACTGTCAAGAAGAGTCCAAAAAGCTTCACAAAGGAAGTTAGACCAGTAGAGGAAAAAGTGAATGAAAATTGTAGGCAAAGAAAATAGTAAGTGAAGGGTACAGTAGTGTGAATGGATATAATATTTGGGTAATGTATTTAATAGAAAATAATCTATGTGAGTAAATGCTGAAAAAATTGAGTGAAAAGATACATTGGGGCCAGAGAGTAAAAAATTTGTATGTTGTTTTAAAGAGTTTGAAATCAATCTTACATTCATTTATTCTTGAAACATTCTGAGAAGGGGTACTTTCATGTTCCATTTTATTTGGCTTTGTGTAGTTTTAATGCTCACTTTGATCATGCAGTACTTACGTAATAAAATAGTTAAAAGAAAAATAAAATTAAAAGCATCTATCAAATTTCTACCATTTGCCAGGCATTGGGCAAAAAATATAAACAAAATGAAATCTTTACCTTCCAGAAAGAAACAACATGAAAGATAAATAGTCGGGCAGGACCAAGTGACTTGCTTTGGCCAATGAAATGTAGGTGGACATGATATGTGACGTGTGCCCACGTGGAAGCATTTAATTGCTGCTGTTTCATTGTCCAGCCTACTCTTTCCTTGCCATAGAAAACAAGAGAGAGGGCTAGGCACAGTGGCTCACGCCTGTAATCCCAACACTTTGGGAGGCCGAGGTGGGTGGAATACCTGAGGTTGGGAGTTCAAGACCAGCCTGGCCAACATGGTGAAACCCCATCTCTACTAAAAATACAGAAGAATTAGCTGGGCATGGTGGCACGCACCTGTAATCCCAGCTAATCAGTCAGGAGGCTGAGGTAGGAGAATCGCTTGAACTTGGGAGGCAGAGGTTGCAGTGAGCCAAGATTGTGCCACTGCACTCCAGCCTGGGCGACAGGGCAAGACTCTGTCTCCAAAAAAAAAAAAAAGAAAAAGAAAACATGAGAGAACATTTAAATCAGGAAGAGATATAACATTAAAGCAGCCTGGAATGTTAGATCCACACTGGTAGGATGGCACACTTTGTATAATTGAGAAAGAAACTATAGTGGATTAAGCCACAGAGATTTGGGGTTTGTTATTGCAGCGTAACAGTCTATCCTGATGGATACACTGGGGCAACATCTAAGTCTTAGAAGTGATCTGTCCGGTATTTTTGGCATGAAACTTTTTAAATGCTTCATTGGTTTTCACCAGTCATGTAGTTCTCTGGATTTCCGGCAAATAAAAATTGGAAACCAGTGTTTTTTCAATACATAAATCCTCACTTAATTTGTATAGAAGCTTACATTTTTTCCAGACATACAAACTTATAAATATTGCCAGAGTTGATATTATTGTGAGATATGCAGAGAATACTCACTTTAACACCAATGCAGTCCTTAACCTTCCCTCTCACCTTATTTCTCACAACTCTCATCACAAACCTGTGCTCCAGAAAACTAAACAACTGGATTTTCCCACATACGATTCCTTCCTCTATTTGTTAATGTATACTATTTCTTTTGCCTAGGATGCCTTTTACCTATCATCTAATATCCAAAGCCAGTAAATCACTTTTTTCATAAAGTATTTCATTGCTCCTTTACACACACACACACAGACACACACACACACACACACACAGATTTCCCACAGGTAAAGGAAAGAAGAAAGAATGAAATGAAATTTTATCCAATACCTCATTATGTGCCTGGCACTATGTGTGGTATTTGATGTTCATCCTTGAACTCCTTGATCACTTTATCTGCTTCTTTTGTAGTATTTAAAACTCTATACCTAAATATGTTATATATATTTTTGTACCTTAATCACTTTTTTTTTTTGAGACGGAAGTCCCGCTCTGTCACCCAGGCTGGAGTGCCGTGGCACAATCTCCACTCACTGCGACCTCCACCCCACTGGTTCAAGCAATTCCCCTGCCTCAGCCTCCTGAATAGCTGGGATTACAGGCGCATGCCACCACGCCCGGCTAATTTTTTTGTATTTTTAGTAGAGACAGGGTTTCACCATGTTGGCCAGACTGGTCTCGAGCTCCTGACCTCAGGCAATCCGCCCGCCTCGGCCTCCTGAAGTGCTGGGAATACAGATGTGAGCCACCGCACCCGGCCCTTAATCACTTTTAAGAATAAAATCAGTGTCATTTACAGAGCCCAGCATGAGAGCTGGCATATAGTAGACTCTCAATAACTTTTTTTAATGAATGAACTTCAAATATCTTTTTAAGGTCTTCTGTATATATTTATATGTAAGCTGGTTCTGAAAGGGAAGAAATCTGATTAGAAATTAATATAATCCTTTGCCTCTGCTATTATGCTTGATTTCCTGGCTTTCAAACTTATTCCAATGCCAGGCTGCAGGATTGATTTAAAACCCCATTGCCCAAAAAGAAGCAGAGGGAGCTGGGACGCAATAGCCAAGGTTCCTTTTCCTTGTAAAGATATTTAGGGATTTTATCTGTTACTCGTATCTCAAGAACATGATTACTTAACTCTCATAAAGTAAGACACACCGTACCAATGACGTATCAGAAGACATGGGTAAAATTGTGGGAGGAAGCCCAGGGAAACAGTCAAACAGCTTTAGGCTTCACGGGACACTAACTAATCATTTTGGCCAGAAAGCCCCTCTCCCCATGGAGCATAATGTCTTCCAAGGAAGATTTGGATGAAACATTTCACCAGATGGATCCAGTACCTACATTAAGACTCTGCCACCCACACCCTTATGTATTCATTTATTTCTCCATGAAATATTTGAGAGTGTGTTGAGGTAGCAGAGCCTGTACTAACAGTGGACTAAAGAATATGTTGTACGACAACTCGCCTCCAATTTTCATAGCTGAGTGTAAACGAAAATGGAGGCTCCTAATTAACGTTATGTCATCAAATAAACATCAAGCAATTTGCAGTGATTTAGATTTCACTTTTACTCTTTTTGACCAATGAACTAGGGTGGCAGGATGGCATTGGCACACTAATCCTGCAAAAACTCAGGGCCTGTTTTGCACTGAGTTACTCACATTTAGAGAAGTAGACATCTGCTTGACCTCAAAACCACATGGCCAAAAAAAAATCTTTAAAGTACACATTGCCTTTAGTCATTGTAGTGTAGTTAAATTGTAAGTTACATAATAAGTACTGCTATTTTATAGATGCCCAAAAGACATGTATTATTTTCCCATTGCAGAGATGAGGAAAGTGAGGCTTAGAGAAGTTGTTACCCAAAGTTATTTGTCTTTTAGTGGGCAGAATTAATATTCAAATCCAGGTCTTCTATATCAAGAGCCCAGGCTCCTTCCAGAGCTACACTTCAGCTTATAGCACACTGCTTCATCATAGGTTTTGTTTAGAAGTCACATACATATATAAATATTCAAGAAACAGGTTGGACTTATAAAGAAGACATACATTTTTTAAAAAGATTTCAAAAACTTAAACTTCTGCTAAGAACATACTGTGATAAAAGAACTCAGGCAAAAAATATTAGTTTTTTTAACCTTAAAAATTAATAAATGTCAGCTTTGTTTTCAGGTATTTATAGCAAAGGTTAAAATAAATGTTGATAAATTAAGACTATTAACACAGACTGGTAATAGCCTAGATAGCAATTCAGTGACATTACCATCTTACACTTTAATGAAATAAAAACTTGAATTGATTGTGTAAGGAAAGACTCTCTTGTTTATTCCAATCTTAATATTATGGTTGATAATTTCACCAGCAGTCCTGATGAAAATATACCTGATATAACAACACCACAGGAAACTAATGATTGTCATGAATCTGCTTGTCGCTGAAGTACAAAGATACAGACTCATCAATCTTTTAAAAATTACTGAAAGCAAACAAGTGATCAGGACAAACAAATTATTATGTTATCATTGTTTCTATGTCTTCCACTTTATTTTTATTACCTTATTTCCTGGGGAAAGTGGCCAAAATATCTTTCAAATATTTGTATTTAATTTTAACCTTTACTATCTTGACTCCACAGAAGATTTTAAAGACTAAATTTCAGAAAATTTTGTCTAATTGTCATTGTGAAATAGCTCTTTAATCTTTTCTTTTCCTCTTCATCAAAAGATAATCAGTAGTCACCTGATAAATAATACCAGTATTCATTTCTTAACGCAATGTTTTGCCTATTTTTAGGACTTCACAACTTGATTGTAAATTATTATTCAAATTGAAAAGTAGGCATACATGGCCATGTTTTTTTAAATACATTTTGTTTTAGAAGTGTGTCTAAAGCTCAAGATATATTTTGTTATTTATTTTATTACTTTACTTTGGTATTCCATAAATGAAATAAAACTCCAGTAAATTATCCAGAAAGTTCTATTGTTCCCATCACCTCTGAAGAAAACAAAACTAAACAAAATCAAACAAAAACATCTTACTGAAAGATAGTTGCAGGCATTTAGCTAACTGCCTCTATTGTAAACTTTTCTTTTTAATTAATGCATAATCCAAATATAACCAATTTGTCATCAGCAGAAACTAAATCTATGCATGTTGCATTCAGATAAATAGGAGAGGCATGTCATCAAGCTATTTTTAAATGAAAATCAGAATATTTTTTATTTTATTACAATATTTATCCTTGTTTTTATAGAAGTCAACATTTTCATAATCTTAGACATGATCATGTTTCCTATCCTCATGGGATAGAAAGCATTGAAATATACATCTTCTCTAGTTCATTCAACCTCGATCACACTGGAACTAACAAGACTTCATAAGTAGAGTTACATAAAACATAGCATGACAGCAGTCATGAGTACAGATCTGGAGGTAGGAGACATAGACTCCTCCCAATATGATATGGCATTTTAGCATTTGGCTTCTAGTGTCAAATAAACAGGTTTGAAATCCAGTCATGGTAGTTAATAGCCAAGTAACGTTAAGTCACTTAACCTCTTTGCCCCTCGGCTTCCTGGTCTGTACAATGGGAATAGTAAGAGCATCAATCTCAAAGTCCTGCTTTGAAGATTAAAGGAGATAAGATGTGTTAGTGATTAGTCCAGGGCTTGGCACATATGAAGCACCCAATACACATTAGTATTGTCGTTTCTAAAGACACAACCCTGTGTGTGGACACAATAAGAATTTCTCTTTTTTTTTTTTTTTTTTTTTTTTTTTGTGACAGGGTCTCACTCTGTCACCCAGGCTAGAGTACAGTGGTGCAATCTCAGCTCACTGCAGCCTCTGCCTCCTGGGTTCAAGCAATTCTCCTGCCTCAGCCTCCCAAGTAGCTGGGATCACAGGTGCCCAACACCATGACTGGCTACTTTTTGTATTTTTAGTAGAGACGGGGTTTCACCATGTTAGCCAGGGTGGTTTTGAACTCCTGACCTCAAGTGATCCACCCACCTCAGTCTCCCAGAGTGCTGGAATTACAGGCATGAGCCACTGTGCCCAGCCCAACACATTAAGAATTTCAAACTGGAGTTAGAGCCATAAGCATTTCCCTAATCTTAGTGAACCTACATAAACAGGACAGTTAAAATTCTGGTTAATTGCAAAACTCAGGAAAGGATTCTAAATTAGTGACTTTTGCAGGATTATTGATAGCCATAATGTTGCTCAAGAATTTGAGCCAAAAATTTAGTATTCTTATTTTGACCTGCAGTTGGATCCTTACTCATTCCCACTACTAGTCAGTTGCCATTTGTCTCTCATTTTAAAATTTGTTGTTTGGTTGTTTTTCCTTGATCAATCCAATGTTCATTTTTGGTATGTGAGATCCTTAATACTTACCTCACTAATTCTCAATCTCAGGGCTGTGAGACCCTGGGAGACTATTAGGTCTCATAAGAGAGTAGAAATTCCATACGCCCACCCATGGTATTGTTCTTTAACTAAATATTATGTCTTCATATATAGGCACTATTTTTCAAATGTACATAGATGCTGCTTTGCTTGATGATGTATACTAGTCCCTCTCTTGACGACAAACTGGTCATGAATTCCTAAGAGTTTTAACTTTAGGAATGTCTCCTATTCTTCTGAACTTAACATGCATAGATTTAGTTTCTGCTCATGACAGATTGGTTATATTTGGATTATGCATTAATAAAAAAGAAAAGTTTACAATAGAGGCAGTTAGCTAAATACCTGCAACTATCTTTCAGTAAGGTATTTTTGTTTAATTTTGTTTAGTTTTGTTTTCTTCAGAGACATTAACTTTAAAGACATTAGAGTAATGTCTCTAGAATCTTTCCTCAGCTTTCCATTCACACTGGCGCTGCCCTGAACCAGACCCTCACGTCCAAACTATACTTTTCCAGTATTCTTCTAACTGGTTCTCCAGACCTCAATATGGCTCAACTCTGGTGTGTTCCACATTGTCACTTGGTTCATGATCTGTAGCCTCAGTTCCTCCTCTCAAAAATGAATTATAAATCTAGTCACTCACAAGATCATTGGGAGGATGTAATGAATGGATTGTGAAAGTGTTTTATATAAAAATCTCTGAAAATATTAATTATTGTTAAGAGCAATTCTGATGTTAGCCAGGAGTGATTTATTTATTCAACGAAAATGTATCAATGTTTATTAGATATGTACAAAATGGTACACAAAGTGCTAGTGACAAAAATATCAATGAAACACAGTCCCTAGCCTTGAAGAAGCACAAAATCAATGTAGTGGAAACCCTTTATAGTGTATGTCCATCCCAGGCACTGGTTTTCCCTGCCCTGAGAACTGTTACTCATTCACAGTGTGGTCCTGTACAGACAGATAGGGATTATGTGTCTCCATTCCCCTGGACAAAGTGGACTGGACTGGGATAGACATCTGAAATCTGATTGACCCACAAGCTGTGCTTTCTCTAGAGAATCTGAAACTGAGATTCTTAGACAGCCAATTAGTCACTGTCAGTGGTTAGAACTGCAAATCCTATAAATTTTGAGTTGTCATGTCTTGGGACAGGGAAGCCAAGAGGCTTCTCAGCAGAACAAGAAGAATCAATCTAACAAGAAAAAAGATACCTGGGTTTCTGGAGATTTTTTATTACTTAGTTTGAAAGGCAGGTGGGATGCTACTATAATAAAGGCATATAGAACAAGCTTTGGAAGCCCAGAGATGGCTGCCAGTAACTGATTTTAGGATTGTTTTACAGAGGAGATGAGATTTGAGTTGGTATCTATTGCCATATCTTCTAGATCATCTGATCTGCTCACCAACAGAGCCTTTCTCCAGCTCCCATGCTTCATTCGTGCCCCACTGTATTAGTCTGTTTTCATACTGCTATAAAGAACTGCCCAAGACGGGGTAATTTATAAAGGAAAGAGGTTTAATTGACTCACAGTTCAGCATGGCTGGGGAGACCTCAGGAAACTTACAATCATAGCAGAAGACAAAGGGGAAGCAAAGCACCTTCTTCACAAGGCAGCAGGAGGGAGAAGTGCCAAGCAAAGGGAAAAGAACCCCTTTTTAAACCATCTGATCTCATGAAAACTCACTCACTATCACGAGAACAGTGTGGGGGAAGCTGCCTCCATGATTCAATTACCCCCACCTGTTCTCTCCCTTGACACACGAGGATTATGGCGATTACAATTCAAGATGAGATTTGGACTGGGACACAAAGCTCAACCATCTCACCCACCCTCTTGAAATGGATTAGTTCCAAGCCCTGGCTCTAGCATGCATTGTCACAACCTACTTAACTGGACCATATCAATTTGAACTCCAATATGCAACACTGTCAAAGGACTTTTGACAAGCAAGAGGACTAGGTCACCAGTTCTGTTTTAATTACTTGCCCAAGATCATACAGTCTTTAAGAGGTTTTGAATCCAAGTATTCTGATTCCAAATATACTTTTCCTGCCATTCTGGGGTACTGCAGAGCTCCTGTGAGGAGGTCAAGTGGCTATGGAGACACAGATTGAAGAATCTTGCAGAGCCCCATTGTCTACAGACTCAAGTCCAAATGCTTTGGCATGGTGTTTAAAATCCTCCACAATCTGGTTTCAATCGGTCATTCCCATCTATCCCCACACATGTCCACCACATCAGACTTTGGACAGCTTCTAAACTTGCCACCCATTTTCATGCCTGCCTTCATATTACTCTCTGAGAGCATGGCCTTTAACCCATTTCATGTATCTGCCAAGCCTTTTCCATCTACACACAGGCCTATTTCATTAGTCTCTCCTCTGCTGACTTTGCACTTTAGTCATTCTTCTAAAATAGTAGTTAACCACAAGTTCTCACTCCCCGTTATATTGGGAACCTGTGCCAAATAAGCATCTCTCCAGAATCACAGTCAAACACATCTACCCAGGAAACAGGTAAAAGCAGAGACAGCCTTATAGAGAAAGAAAGTGGGTGTGATCTGAGGTGTTCCTAAAGACCATGCCAGCAGCAAAATATTTTTCCCATTCAAGTAGCACAGTGCCTGAAATCACACTATTAGGGATTTATTTCTTTGGGTCTAGCATTACTTGGTCTTCAATTAATATGAAAATGTTTAAATAACCTAAATGTACATTAATTTAGAATACATTTCCTCTGTGACAAAAGGAGCTAAGCCATAGATGGAGCAGGTGCATAAGAAATGAAGTATAGAAAAGAGAGGAAAGGTCAAAGAAAGGGGATATTCAGATAGCAAAATAAAAATATACACTTGGCAGGGCTTAAGAATCATGCATTTAATTAATTAGAAAAGCAGCAACGGACATCACTATCACTGCTATCATGAGGATTTCATTTCCTTCTCTCAAAGAATTTGCTGCAATTGAAGGTTGAAACGTCATTTCAATTGATTTTTAATGCATGACAACTTACATTTCCTTTTGCCATCTTGCTGCTGCAATTGAGAAGGCACTGGCAATAGCATTAATAGATGAGAAAGTCCAATATACCCATTTTGTAAAAATAATTTGATAATGTAGTAGAAGTCAATTCAGTTTTTGGTCAGTTAGCACAAGAGATGCTAAATACCCATCACTTAGTTCTTCATGCTTACAAACAGCCTGAGGTTCTTTTTTATAGTGGCAATATGAAATGTGATAAAGCCTATGAGATCAAGGATAGAAAGAAGCTCAACCCCATTTTTGCTTTGCCATTAACCTGGTATAAAATATCAATCACATTGTTTAATCTGTATGTAGGTTTCTTCATCTGCAAAATTGGGGTAATAGTCCTGTTCCCTTCAAACAGCAGAAAGTGAGACATAGCTAGTTCAGTGTTTTAACACACAGAAACTGACCAATTTTATGATAAACAAGGTGAGTAAGATACATTCTTGGTCACAGAATGGCCTCATGACAAAAACTGTTTTATAAACAAATATGCATAATCTTTAATTTTCTAAAAGAAGGCATATCAAAAACAGTTTTAAAAGCAAATACTGGCAAGCCTCCAGCGTGCGTGGGTCTGTGGTGATGTGTGCATTCCTACACTGCTTGCCAGAACAGTATTGAAATAGTGGAGCGTTTGTCCTGCTCCATCCAGAGCAAGGTTATAGAAATTTCAGACAATTGCTTGAAAAAAATGAAAAAAAAGAAAAGAAAAAGAAAAGAAAACACACTTCATGACTTCACATATAAAATAAAGATTTGTTTTCATTTTATCTTTTCTTCTGGAATCAATGCTGGTTTTTTGTTTGGGTTTGATTTGTTTTCTTTAGTCTTTTCTTTTCTTTTTTAGAGACAGGGTCTGTTGCCCAGGCTGGTCTGCATTGATGCCATCATGGCTCATGGTAGCCTCGAATTCCTGGGCTCAAGCAATCCTCCTACCTCAGCCTCCCAAGTAGCTGGGACTACAGGCATGCAGTACCATTCCCAGCTAATGTTTTTTGTTTTTTCAATGGAGACAGGGTCTTTTGCTTGTTGCCCAGGCTGGCCCTGAACTCCTGGTCTCAAGCAATCTTCCTGTCTCAGCCTCAGTTTCAGGTTTTAACAGTTTCAGTTAACAGTATACCAGTAGCAAATTTGTTTCTAGGAACATAAAGATCTGGCCTCATTACAGCAACAATAATAATAACATCAGGAAACAAAACATGTACTTTTCTGGCATGACTCCATTTAATTCACACAGTTAGTTTTACAGGTAAGGAAATGGGGAGTTAAAGAGTTTAAATAACTTGGTCACAGTCACACAGTCAGTGGAATCACAAAACTCAAAGCTACACTAAAGCCTCACTATGTCCAGCTTGGCCACAGTGTTTCTGCCATTGGTGGACTTTCCTTCTGGTCTAGGCTGTTAGAGAACACACATCTCAGCTAGACTCATCATAGCAACTAAGATGCAGGCACCAGAGTACATAATACCAGGCCAACCTGCCTTCCACACCATGTTTTGTGGTGTTCAATTCCTAAGCTGACTATTGGGTCACATTATGAGCATTTTCCTCCAGAAACTACAGTTCTTCATTTTCGGGCACTATTCTTTTGGGATCTATTTCCAGCCTTTGTATTGTAAAAGAATACCCCACTGCAGGCTGTGTGCAAAGGGAACTGTAAAATACATGATTACAGGTCTGAATATCAAACAAACTCCATGTGAAATACACTTTAAAGGAAAAATATGCACATATTAACCACCTATACAGAATTACAACCTTCTTCTCTTACAATGTTGGCTATTATAATTGACCAACTATATTGCAACAGTATTTAAATACTGTAACATTCCAAGAACAATCCCTTTTCTCTATTAGGTCCCTCTAATTTTTTGTTTCTGCCAGCGCATTCCATGTCAGTTAACGACTATACTCTCTACATAATTCTAAAATATTGAACTGTATGCTAAATAAGTAAAATATTTTAAGATAATGTCTTGAGGGAATAGTATTTCATATTATAATTCAATATGCCCTAAGGTAATTATTCAGATATCAATATGCAAAATAGCAGTATGCTGTAGCGCCCTATATTTCTTTTTATTTTGCTTCTTTGTAGCAAGCAATAAATTTAAAGATACAAAAAAAATTAAAGGAAAAGTTTGCAGTCGATTTTATTAACAAGATTGTTTGCCTAGGGAGAGAGAAATTTCACTTGGTCCTTTCCTAATTATTCATGTAAATTAAATTCTACAAGTGAAGAAAATTCATAAAAGTCATACTTACTCATCTGAGAGGGAGATATGGCATATGAATGGGGCCTATAACCTCGGAAGGTGAAATGTAGAAAATATCACAAGCAACTCCCACATTAAGTTAAGTGAACCAAAAAAAAGGGAGATTCTTGGTGTGAAGGAGACTTCAAGGATATCCTCCCTAATCGCCTCTTAATAGTCTCAAATCTCTGACACAGGACACAAATCAAGAATTCAGAGAACATGGAATTACTAGTCACTTACATTTGATATCAAATGTAAGCACTACTAGACACATTTTAAATTTTTAAAACCTTTTAAATATAAGGTTTGAAAAGAAAGCACAAATTGTAACTTAAATTTTTAAGACATCTGTATGTGGTACATGCCAGAAAAAGTTAACTACACATTCTTGTATCTTTTCTGAAATTCTCACTGTTTTTTCCTCCTAAGCCTATGTTAGGATGAAATTAAACAAACTACTACAGACTTGTATGCTAACACTCAATATTCAAAGTGAACCCAAATCATTCAACAAATATTTATTTAATGCCTTTTGTGTGCAAGGCATTGTAGTAGAGAACACAATAGACTTTCTCATTTAGATATAAACAGTTTAATCTTTTCAGAAAGGACCTAATCATTAAATGGAAAGTATGTCCACTATTCATGAGAATCTCAGTTTGCATCTTTTCAGGATAAAGTTAAAAACTGTGGTCTGGGTGCAGTGGCTTACGCCTGTAATCCCAACACTTTAGGAGGTGGGCAGATCACGAGGTTAGGAGATTGAGACCATCTTGGCCAACATGGTGAAACTCCGTCTCTACTAAAAATACAAAAATTAGCCCAGGTGTGGTGGCACGCACCTGTAGTCCCAGCTACTTAGGAGGATGAGACAAAGGAAACACGTGAACCCAGGAGGCAGAGGTTGCAGTGAGCCGAGATCGTGCCACTGCACTCCAGCCTGGGCAACAGAGCAAGACTCTGAAAAAAAAGTGCAAGAAGAATAAAGCAGAACTGGTGAGTAGTTGAATATAGAGAATAAAGATAGAGAAAACATAGATAAAGCCAAAGATAAAGTCAAGGTAAAAACTGAGACAGGGACAGAAATTAGGAGACAGCAATGAGACCAAGATGACAATTTAAGCATCATATATGTTGAGCCTAAAGTAATAGCCAGCTATCCCAGGACAGATGTATGAGAGGTAGCTGGAGGTATTTGACAAGAATTTTAGATCTCTAACAGATTGTCTTAAGATAGATAGTGAGAAAGAAAGTACAGAGGTACTTACAGCTAAAAGACCACCATTGACTCTGACTAGAAGGACAGGACTGGTAGCTTTAAGAACAGATCATCCAAGAAGATATACAAATGTCCAATATGCACATGAAAAGATGCTCATCAGTAATTAATAGGGAAATGCAAATTAAAACCACAATGAGATACCACTTTGTACTCATTAGGATGGCCTTTAGAAATATATATATATATATATATACACATATGTATATATAAAATTAAAAAAAAACAAAAACACAAAACAACAAGTGTAATGGCAAGGATATGGAGAAATTGGAACCCCGTGCAATGCTGGTGGAAATGCAAAATGGTACATCTGCTGTGGAAAACAGTTTGGTGGTGGTTAATCAAAAAGTTAAACATTAAAAATAAATAAATAAATAAAAATTAAAATTAAAAAGTTAAACATATAATTATCATATAAATCCAGCAATTCCACTACAAGGTAAATACCCAAAAGCATTGAAAACAGGGACTTGAAAGATATGTTTACACCAATGTTCATAGCAGCATTATTCACAATAGCAAAAAGGTAGAAAGTACCTGACAGATAAATGGATAAATAAAAGGTGATGTATACACACAATGCAATATTAGTCAGCCACAAAAATGGAATGGAATTCTGATACATGTTAAGACATGAATGAACTCTCCAGGCCTTGTGCTTAGTGAAGTAAACAAGATACAAAATGACAAATATTGTATAATTCCACTTATATGAGGTATTTAAAATAGGCAAATTCATAGAGACAGAAAGAATAGAGGTTGACAGTTGTGGGGAGAGTGGAATGGGAATGATTTTTTAATGAGGACAGAAATTTTTTTTCTGTTTGCTGTGACAAAAAAATTTCTGGAAATGGATAGTGGTGATGGTTGCACAACACTGTGAATGGGCTTAATACCAAGAGAGCTGGGGGCTGCACGATGGAGGAAGAACAGATCAGCAAAGTTGTGAGAGAAGAAACTAGACTACAGGGATCAAGAAGTGGGTATATAAGAATGAACTGGGGTTCACACATGATACTCACTTGAGAAACTGGTATACTCATTGAACCTAACAGTAAAACTACAAATATTGCCCTCAAACACAGCAAACTATAAATAATAAACTTTGTGAATAGAAAATGAGCATGTCAGCTAAACACCCTGCCTGGAGTTGGAGATACAGAGTTAATATTTGTGGTCTCTGCATTTAAGGGTTTACTGTCTGTTGGAGAATCCTGATCCCAGGGCCAATTTTATTTTTTCATTAATAATTAGCATTTATTCAGCACCTACTATATATCAAGTCCAGAGCTAGTCATTAGAGGTGATAGAGGTTACATATAAGGCAGATAACTATCAACAAGGCAAGACTTCAAGAGAACAGTAAGACTCCCTCCTCCCTGCCCAAATGGTATGGTCTGAATGTGTCCCCCCACCACAAAAAAAACTTATATGTTGAAACTTAATTGCCAATGTGATAGTATTATCAAGAGGTGGGGCCTTCAGGAGGTGATTAAGTCATGAGAGCAAAGCCCTTATGAACAGTATTTATGACCTTATAAAAGAGATGTTATGGAGCCGTTTGCCCCTTCTGCTACTGAGGATGCAAGAAAGCACCATCTACAAAGCACAGAGCAGACCCTTACCAGACACCAAACCTGCCAGCACCTTGATCTTGGACTTCCCAGCCTCTAGAACCATGAGCAATAAATTTCTGTTGCTTATAAATTACCCAGCCTAAGGTATTTTGTTATAGCAGCCAAAATGGACTAAGACACCAAGCCTCCTCAAAAGATAATAAAGCCCCCAAATTATTAAGGCTTTTACACCACAATCATAATAAAAACTCAAAATTCAGCTGGGCATGGTAGCTCATACCTGTAATCCCAGCACTTTGGGAGGCTGAGGTGGTACTTTGCTTGAACCCAGGAGTTCAAGACCAGCCTGGGGAACATGGAAAAATCCCATCTCTACAAAATATACGAATATTAGCCAGGTATGGTAGCATGCACCTGTGGTCCCAGCTACTTGGGAGGCTGAGGTGGAAGGATTGCTTGAGCCTGGAAGGTCAAGGCTGCAGTAAGCCACGATTGTGCCTCTGTACTCTAGCCTGGGTGACAGAGTGACACATTGTCTCAATAAAATAGTAATAATAAATAATTTTAAAAATTCAAAATTTACATTCAACTCAAAGAAGTAGCACATCACTTCAAATTTCTCCTGAGTTACAAATGTCAGATATCAGGCTTCCTGAAAAAAAAAAAATTCAGAAGATTCTACTTTTCACTTTTACCCAAGGCTGGCAAAATGATTCAGCAATGTTTAAAGAGTCTAAAAATTAAATGGCTGTGAAATAAACTAAATTAACTATGCTAAATACTTTCTACATAATACCTCCTTTGATCCCTACAACAATCCTATGAGGTAGATGTCTCAAATTTTCAAAATATCAAATTCAACACAATAATAAATAGCAGACAGCTACTAAAACATCTATTTTTCTTTGAAGAGTATTCTGCAGTTTCATGGATCAGAAAGGAGCCATAATCTCAGCTCTCTTGTTTTGGTGTGCCACTAATTTCTTTTGTACTCTACAACCTACTTGTTTTCAAAAATCAAATGATTGATATTTTTATAAAACCTTTCATTTTAGGTAAAAATGTAGGAAAATTATACTTGTTCTTTTTTCCTTTTTTTGCATCCTATGTTTGCAGTATTTCTTGGGAGTTTAGTGATAGACGCTCCCTCTTAAAATTTATTTATTCGTTCAGTAAATTGTTTCTAAATAATTCTTATTTATTTTTTCAAGGAACTGTCATTTCTTGAGCAGCTACTATATGCCAAGCACTGTATTTGATGCTTGGTAAGAGGGAATTGAGGGAGAGAAGAAAAGGCAATAGAAGCAAAAAGAAAAGGCCCAGTCTTTCTTCCCTTAAGGATCTACCAGTCTAGTCAGAAAAATAGGTATGTATAACTAGTTATAATACAATGTGACATGAACTGGAGTACAGAAATGTAAGTGATTATGGGAGCCCAGGGATAAAGTAATTAATCTTCTTTATGAGAAAGGCATACTACTAGATGCTGGAAGCATTAAGGGTGTAAAAGAATATGTCCCTGCTTTCCAAAAGCTTATAACTCTGTAATAAAATTAAATGTATACACAAATAACTGTACTTAAAGTTGGTAGTTCTAAGCACCATTTGAGTGATAAAAAATAGAAGTTCCTAGGATTGCCATCACATCTGGCGAGGAAGAATAATAATGCTGCCCTTTATGGAATACAAGCATCAGGCATCTTGCTGAAATCTTCATATACGTAATTCTCAAATTGTAGGGGGTTAACAATGGTAGCAGATAGTTTCTAATATGGTCGCTTAATTATCTCCACCTTCTGAAACTCATATTCTGGTGTGATTATCCTCTGCCTGAGTGCAGGCAGTATCTGAGACTTTCTTCCAGTCATTAGAATATGGCAGAAGTGGAACGTCATTTCCCTGATCATAACATGTAAGATTGTAATATCGGTCTTGCTAGGAGAGACTTTCCACCTTGCTGGCTTTGAAGAAACAAGAGGCCACAGGGTAAAGGAGCTGATGCTCCTCGTTCAACAGGCGAAAAGGAACTGAATTCTGCCAACAATCATGTGAACTTGGAGACAGATCCTACCCCTGTCAAGCCTTGAGTGAGACCACAGCCCTAGCTGGCCCCTTGATTGTGGCTTTCAGAAGAGTTCCCAAAGCACAAAACTTAGCAAAGCCATGTCTGGACTCCTGACCCGTAGAAGCTGTGACCTAATGGACATTTGTTGTTTTAAGCCATGAAGTTTGTGGTAATATTTCTATACAGCAATAGACATTAATACAGATACTGTTATGCCCTTTTTCTTCTTTTTTTTTTTTTTGAGGTTATGCCCTTTTTCAAATGGAGAAACAAGTTTTGAGAGGTTAAGATCACAAAGAACCAGAAATCAAGCCCAAATCCATGCTGAGACAAACTCTATTATATTGCCTTACAGAAAACTTTATGAAAAGGCAGATATGTGCCCTAAGTCATAAAGTAGGTGGAGACGGGGGAGGCCATTTCTGGCTGATGGAATGTTTTAAGCGAAGGTCAGAGACAAGGGTGTGTGTGCCATGTTTCACAATGAATGTTCCCTTTTACCAGAACAGAATACATCTATGTAACCATGGTTTCCCCAGATTTCCCCAGCCTATGGATAAAAAGGTGTTACTTGACCAATAATAATACAAATATCACTGACTCTTGTCTACATCTGCTGGACGCTAAGCCTCCAGTTCACAGTCAAGTGTTTCTAGAACTACCAAGGGAATGTCCCCTTATGTTTTATATGTGCTTATCTCTGAGAGCCACAGTGTCTTTCTAGTCACTATTGGTACTCCACAGCAAGTGCTAAACAAAAGAAAAGAATGAACATAAAAAACATTTCAAAGAAAGTGTAATTATGAATACAAATAGACTGAATATACAAAAACATGAGAAAAGGAAAAAGATCATTCAGATTTCAAGACTGGTGATGAAGAAGACAGTCAAGAGGAGAAGCTGGATTGAAAGGAAATGTTCCAGCAGGAATGAGGTTCCAGCAGGAAATTCACATAGAACCATAAGCCAGTAACTGGAATCTAGAGCAAAAAAGTGAGAACTACTCCAAAGGGTTGATAGTTTTCTCAGTGGATGGGATCACCAAGGAAATGAGTTTAAAGAAGAGAAGACTATAAATTATAAATAATGTGAGTCTACATATGCATATGTACATATGCATACACACACAAACACACACACACACACACACACACATAAATATATAACCATAGGAAGATGAAAGAGAAAAATATTTAGATTCCTGATAGCTTTAATAAACAGGAACGTTATGGTTAACTCTGCAACATCCCTTCCATCCCAGATGATTAATCAAGGCCACGTAGACTAATGAATTGCCCTGGAAACTAATATGCATTTTCTATAATGACTCAATCATGTTGAAGGGAAGAATTTATATTTCTAAGTTGGGAGAGGTTTTCTAGATAATCCCAAAGCTACATGCAGCAACAATTATCATTAGAAGCCACCTTGCAACCATGAGTGCAGCAGGTACAAGCAAAAAGCCAACTCAAGTGGGAAGGAGAAAATAAAGAGTTTACGAGAAAGCAAAGTCACAGCTCTAACATGCTCTGTCTGGATTCTAGTCTCCTCTGGGCTTTTTCTTATATAAAATGATATATTTTCTTATCATTTAAAACCATTTCTGAAGACAAAATCTTTCTGACCAATAAAATTATGCAATTAAAAGAATTCATATATTGTAGACAAGGCAAGTACAAGAAAATTGGCTTTCACCAGTTGGGTAGATTGTATCCTGATTCATAATTATTTACCCTGCTCCCCCTGAAAGAGGATTACATTTTCCTATGCCTTGGCGTGTGACTGCCCATGCCTCCTGCAACAGAAATACACATCCTACATTGGATGTGAGTGGACAATGAAATGTCAGTGGATGGGCATATGTTACAAATGAGTAGGTAATTTAAGAAGCATCACAAGTTTTCCGTGATTTTTCTTTTTTTTTTTTTTCTTTTTTTTTTTTTTTTTTTTGAGACGGAGTCTCGCTCTGTGGCCCAGGTGGGAGTGCAGTGGCGCAATCTCGGCTCACTGCAAGCTCCGCCTCCCAGGTTCACGCCATTCTCCTGCCTCAGCCTCCCGAGTAGCTGGGACTACAGGCGCCTGCCACCACGCCCGGCTAATTTTTTTGTATTTTTAGTAGAGACGGGGTTTCACCGTGTTAGCCAGGATGGTCTCGATCTCCTGACCTCGTGATCCGCCCGCCTCGGCCTCCCAAAGTGCTGGGATTACAAGCGTGAGCCACCGCGCCCGGCCATCCGTGATTTTTCTTATCCCTTCCAGCTGCCACATACAAAATTGGGGCTGTCTATCACCTAAGTTCTGAATGAGAAGACAAATAGAGAGAGCCCAACAGAGCTGAGGAGAGAGAACCATAGAAGTAGCACCCCACCCACAAGTGACAATACATTATATGCATAAAAAATAAATATTTGTTATTTTACATGACTGATACTTTTGGGTGGTTTGTCACTGCAGCAAAGCTGCCTAATGCACCAATAACAGACCCATAAGGCAGTCTTTCTATATTGGTTATGCCAAAAAGCAGATCCGAAGGGATTAAGAAATGATGAGGTGGAGAGGAGGGGGGACAGTTCCTCTTCCACTTAGAATGTAGAAAGCCCCAGAGCATGTCATTCACCCTAAGAGAAAAACTTGACTAACATACAAAAGTCATAACTTTCCTTGGGCCCATCAGAGAATCACAGGGCAATAAAGTAAACTAAATTCCAAAGGTTTACAGCCTCCTCCAATAAGAGACATGACCCACAAAAATTTGGCAGAGCCGGAGAGGAAGCGAATAATAAGTGGGTGGTAGTAATGAGCTCCCCCAATTAACAATGGTAAGAGGAAAGCCAAGGCTCAGATGAGGAAAGCAATTGAAGCGAGCACCTCACTGCTCTACCACATTCAGTTTCCTGATATAGACAAATTGCACTCAAGCTTATTGAGAGAACTTGCAAATGGGATTTCCCAGCCATTGACAGAAATCTTTGCGAACAGATATCTCTCAAAAGAAGACATACTAATGGTCAACAAGCATATGAAAAAAATGCTTAATGTCACTAATCATCAGAGAAATGCAAATTAAAACCATATGAAGATATCATCTTATACCAGAGTGGCTATTACTAAAAAGTCAAAAAACAACACATATTGGCATGGATGTGGAGAAAAGTAATTGTTTATCCACTGTTAGTGGGAATGTAAATTAGTAAAACATCTATAGAAAACAGTATGGCAATTTCTCAAAGAAATAAAAGTAGAACTACCATTCGACCTAGCAATTTCACTAGTGAACAGCTACCCAAAGGAAAAGAAATCATTATATCAAAAAGACACCTTCACTTATATGTTTATTTCAGCACTATTCACAATAGCAAAGTTATGGAATCAACCTAAGTGTCCACCAGTGATTGACTGGATAAAGAAAATGTGGTACATATACATCCTGGAATACTATGCAGCCATAAAGAGTTAAATCATGTCTTTGCAGCAACATGGATGGAACTGGAGGCCATTATCCTAAGAGAAATAACTCAAATATAGAAAATTATATACTGCATGTTCTCATTTATAAGTAGGAGCTAAACAATAGCTACATATGAACATAAAGATGAAAATAATAGACTCTGGGGACTCCAAAATGGAGGAGGGAAGAAAGAGTGTGAGGGTTAAAAAATTACTTGTGGGTACAATGTCCACTATTTGGGTGATGGGCACACTGGAACCCAAGCCTCACCATTGTGTAATAATATATCCATCCAACAAATTTGAACATGCATTCCCTGAATCTAAATTTTTTTTTAAGTTTAAAACAGAGAAGTTTAAAACAAAAGACAGTGTGACCTTTGAATAATGAGAGAATGGAAAAGAGAATGTTCAAGGAGCAGAGATGTGGGTGCAAAATGGGGTACAGTGATCAAAAAGAGAGGTAAACTCTGCAAACACTACAACATGAAGCCTGACAACAAATCTAGACAAGAAGCTACAGCAAGTGACTAAAGGGCTGTTTGAGAGTTCCTAGAACACAATTTGAGTTGACCAAGAATATATAAGACTTACATCATTTCTTTCTGAATAAGATATACTAGTAGGTCAGCAAAATCCATTGATATACTTGAACTTTAGCAAAGCATGTGACAAATTCTTTCCTGATATTCACATACACAAGATGGACCTATATGAACTAGAATAAGTAGAGTATAAGAGCTTCAAGAAACAGAGATTATAGGAGTTTGAAAGAAAGAGTGGTTCCTATTAAAAAAAGATTCCAGGAAAGTAACTGTGTATGGGAGACACCAGTCAATTAGGGCAAGAAATTAGTGTAATCACTATCAGGATAACCTTAATAACAATAGCAATAATATGTTGAGCACTTATTACATGCCAATTCTTGCGCTAAGCATTTTTTCCATACATTAGCTTGTTTAGTCCTCACCACAATCTTTTTAGGTAAATTTATTTTCCCTTTTACAAACCAGGAAACTGAGGCTCAGACAGGTTAAATAACCTGCCCAAATTAATACAGCTAGTAGGTGCAAGAACAGAGGTTATAAGCTGGGTCTGAGCCTAAGGGTATGTTATTAAATGTCATGCCATCCTTGAGGTAATGCTGGGCACATATTCCAAATAAGACAGAATAGTGCCGGGCAATGTGGAGAAACCAATGTAGAACTCATCTGAAAAGGAAGAAGCCTAGAGAAACAGGCAGCAGTGGAAAGCCTCTTGTATAATAGGCAGCAGGGATGGATGACAAGACTGAAATGAGCAAGGGAACAGGAGACAAGTTGTGGGGACTTCACAGTGTGAGAAAAGAGACAGAAGAGGGTGGTTTGAATTGTGGTTAATAAGGCAGATTAAAAGAATGGTGTGACTTAATTTTCTTCTAACAAGTACATTAGAAATTGCACCTCCAGGCTGGGCACGGTGGCTCACGCCTGTAATCCCAGCACTTTGGGAGGCCGAGGCAGGTGGATCACTTGAGGTCAGCCTGGCCAACATGGTGAAACCCCATCTCTACTGAAAACACAAAAAAATTAGCCAGGCGTGGTGGTGCACACCTGTAATCCCAGCTACTGGGGAGGCTAAGGCAGGAGAATCGCTTGAACCCAGGAGGCAGAGGTTGCAATGAGCCGAGATTGGGCCATTGCTCTCTAGCCTGGGTAACAAGAACAAAACTCTGTCTCAAAAAAAAAAAAAAAAGTAATTGCATCTCCTTGGAAGGTTGTCCCAATCCAGTTGGCGCCCTCAGTATTGCTGGAGGAAATAAACAGACTGGTTGGTAAAGACTCTTCCAAAGCTGGTAGCATAGACTTTTCTGCAGCCTTTCCTTTAAGAACTTTATGACGCTTAACAACTTCCTGATTAAACATTTGGTGTTCTTCACAAATCTCAAATTTTCTGCATCAATCAAACAAGGCAAAATACCATATAAAGGTTAACATTTTTCAATATGTACTCTATTAATCTTATTTCTTTCATTTATACCATTTAAACAGTGGCAATTTATCTGTATAAACTTTAAACCATAAAAGATACTGCTACTGTGTGTTGTGAAACATCACAGTAACCTAAGCATAGCATTTTTTTCCAAACTTAATGTACAGCAATATATGCTATTTAAATAACAAATCTGGAATTTGAGGAAGCAATTAAAGTTTATGAGAGTAAATAAGAAAAAGTTCAAAAGCAACAGAGCTTGTTAAGTTTCTGTGGCAAATACACACAGATATTAATATGGTCAAATAATCCAAAGATAGCACTATAAATGGAGAGGTAATATTATATGCTTGTATACATTATAATGTGTGTGTGCTTTACAAATTTTGGGTTCAAACAGCGCAAAGGAAATGCTATTTTTATCTAAATCTATGGAAACAGTTGGTCACCTGCTGTGTCCAAGGAGAGCCTAAAGTTTTCTGCCATTTATAAGCAGTCTCTTGACTTAAATATAAAATCATTGGCTTACACAGTGAATCATTATAAATCTCTCACAAGCTTTTAAACCAATCAGTCAAGCTTAGAATGCAGTGATTTGGAGAATCACAGCTCTGAGGCTTTGGGGCCTCACTGCGCAAGGGTAATAAATGTAAATGATTTGGTAACTTGTAGAAACATAGGTTAGTTCGCTCTTTACCTCCCAAGGAGCAACTGGGTTTGACTAAGGAGGTTTACTCTGATCCCAGGGAAAAAAATATCTATTATGTCATTTTCTTTCCTGAATCCTGGGGAAAAGAATAACATGAAAAGCAGTTAATCTGTTAAGCACACAGAGCTTACTATATAGAAAACTGCCACTCAAAGAATCTGGATTCCTTATGTAATTTCTACCCTACCCAGTGAGAAAGGGGCCTTTCTAAAGCAACATTCTATAAGCGGTGCTGTTTACCCAGTTTTTCCTGCTCTGGGCAAGAGAATCTAAACTCCAACAATTAGAGACTATTCAAGTGTCATCTCCATTCTCAACAACAACAAAATTATCTTGTAGTCTTCATGAAATAAAAGTCAAAAATTTGAAAATAAATCATATGCAGAGTTTGAATGATTGTTTTTTCAATTTGAAGCTTAGTTTCATGGGCACAGTAAAAGGATTTACTGATGATAATAAAAACATTTAAAAATGAGAATTAGATACATACTATCATACGTTAACTAAAGCTTAATTATATGCAACAAAACTATAAATGATGTAAAGTGAGGTTTCGATTGTACTTATTTCTCCTTGCTAGAGACCTGGTAAAATCTCTTAATCCAAAACGGATAATAAAATATAGCCCTTGTAGGTCTGGTCTGGATTTGTCATCTGGTGTTGTTTTATTGCTGTTATTGGTCTTTGTGTCCATGGTCATGCTCAGCTAGTGTCATCTGCAAGGTCATATTGTCATCGCGCAGAACACTTATTACTTAGCCTTTGTTTCCTTTCTCAATGTTCAGGATTCAAACAAACACATTTCTCACACAGGCTTTGCCAAAATTTTTCTACTCATCATCTCTGCTTTCACTAGTCCATCTGAGCCCTCAGGTGCCCATTCATGCCTTCTGCATGCTTTATCTTCATGCAATGCTGAAGCAAAGAAGGCAGTTCTAATATCCTTTTAGCAGGATACCTAACTGAAGTCCAAATGGCAAGGAGGAAAAAAAAAAGTCTGGAGACTCACAATGGGGGAAAATATAGGTACCATAAGACATTCGAATATAAAATGTCTTTCCCCACCCTACACCTTCTCCTTGGTTCCTGCTGTACTTGTCTGGAGAATACTCCTGTTTAACTATTCTGTGTCCAATATCATGTAAGGTAAGCTCACAAACGCCAAAGTCGAAACGTTGTATAGTGCTTTATTTCAGCAATGATTTCTACTTCAACTGGGAGAAGAACTTTTGGAGAGGGTAGGTCCTGCACCAGCTGAAAAGGGGCATTTTAGGACAGTGTATGAATGAAATTTAAAGATAGACATGTATGATCACGGTGTATGAATATACAACACCCTCTCCAGTTAATACATTTTTCTTGATTTGCTTTTAGAACTATAATGGAACTTCATATATTCAAGACACAGAAGCTACCATGGCATACAGTAAATCTTCATTTCTATAGAAAAATCAATATCACCTATGCCAAAATAAATTTTTTTCTTTAAAAAGTTGTTATAATGGTCGATTAAAAGTGATTACTAGTAGAATACAAGTAATTAAAAACAAGCAGAAGTTGAATGAAAATTGGTTCAAAAAAACAATTTAGCAAGGGAATTTAAGAATAAGATAGAACATTTGGGAAACAATTTTACAGTTTGACCTCATTTCCCTATTTTATCATCCCAAATGAAATACAAAAAAAAGTCTATGTATATTGGTGAAAACATTTACTGGCATATGAATGGTTGTCAATTTCATTGTTTATTGGAACCCTGGAACTTTGAAAAATGTTTTCTTAAGCTGTATAAATTATTTATGTAAAATATTTATAATAGTCAAATTATAACATTAGGTACTGAAAATTCTATTAACTCTGCTTTTCCATCTATTGCAAATATATTTCAAGAGAAAATGGGTCCAGACAAGATCTTATGACAGATTCTTATTGAATAAGCAAAAAATAAATTGTCACTATGATAAAACAATGGAATGAGCTTATAAGAGATTAAGGAATGCCTTGTCTTAGAAATCTTTCCCCCAAAGTCCATTTTTGTTTATTTTTAAAAGAAGAATAATTAATTTTCTAGAATAAAAAAAGCCTGAGCAAATGATTGCTCCAAGATCCCTCAGAAATAATTCTATCACTGCATTCTTTTTTGTTTTTGTTTTTATTTTGTTTATGTGTATGTGTACAGACATGGAGTAAATGAGCCCTAGTGTTTTTCAGTAGTTATATTATTACTAAAACTTATATATGTACTAAATATCCCACTAAGGTTTTATGTCTGTGAATTGAGCTTTACATTTCTTGGTCAAGTTTCCAACCATTATTATGTACAATGATCCAGTTACATACTTTATGAGTTAATTTATTAACATTAATTATTGTTCATGTAAAGCTAGAAAATGCAGTCTTTAAAAAAAAACTAAGTTTAAATATAATATCACAGAGCCAATATTTCAACAGTAACATGAATCAGGTAATAAATAGCTCCCTTTGATCATTGTTTTTAAAGTCTCTTGAACCATGCTTTGATTAGTTCTATTTAATATTTAACATCTGGTTAGTCAATTTCAATCTGCAGGAAACACTGCTGGAAAAATTCTATGCTGACTAAATACATTTATAATACTACAAAGCTGACATGTAATTGATTTTAGTTCCCATAAAAGGATTATGTTAACTTTCCTTAATCTACTTGTTTGTATTTTGTGCAATCTAGTAAATTCACACCAGGGATGCTAAGTTTTTATCTCTTATCAATATTTTATGTAAAATTGACAGGATTATACTTTAGTCTAAGTACCACTCTCTAATTTTTTTCCTTGAAAAGAAAATAACATTCTAAAAAATATTACTTCACAGCTATAGCACTAATGCAATAGCGGTTTACTGGCCGCTGAAGTACCTCAATTCCTTGAAAGGAATACTATAGTGAAACATTTCCTATAGGCTATCAAACCCCAGAAACATTTTTACATTTAAAAACAAATGTTAAATGTGTATTTCCCACAGCTCTGGGTTTGTTTGTTTGTTTGTTTGTTCAGTTAAGTATTGTGCAATGGGAAATTGAGGCTTTTGTCATCATTAAATAATGCAACGTTTGGGAAGATTTGTTTAAGTCAGTGTTTTAGCCATTAGTCATTTAATATTATTTTATATATTGCATACTTATGTGTGTAAGTATGCCAAGTTTCTAATTAACATCCATTTCTAAGTAAGCTATGAATTTTATAAGACAGAAATTTTGGTTTTATTATTGTAACATTGACCCTACTGTCAGAGGAGGTTTATTTTTTAGATAAACAAAACTTACCTTTAGTCATTAGTTTTAAATGCCCCATGTGTTGAAATTGGTGGGTTTTCTTTCAATTTCTTTTATGTGAGTGAAAGGTGGGTAAAAACAAAATGTAATATAGAAATTGTGAAGACAAAGTCCAAATCTCAACTTTCTCTCTAATGTTTTCTACATATGATCTCATTATAACCATAACAAGTTTGAAAGACACTAATTGTGGAAAGAAGGATTACATGAAGCAACATTAAAAGTGTAATAAAACATTCCATTCTAAAAAAAATGTCAGCAGGGCACAGTGGCTCAAGCCTGTAATCCCAGCACTTTGGGAGGCCAAGTCGGGTGGATCACCTGAGGTCAGCCTGGCCAACATGGCGAAACCCCTTCTCTACTAAAACCCCTTCTCTACTAAAAATACAAAAATTAGGCGTGCACCTGTAATCCCAGCTATTTGGGAGGCTGAGACAAGAAAGTCGCTTGAACCCAGGAGGCAGAGTTTGCAGTGAGCCAAGATCGTGCCACTGAACTCCAGCCTGGGCAACAGATCAAGACTCTGTCTCAAAAAAAAAAAAAAGAAAGAGAGAGAGAGGAAAGGAAGAAAGAAAGAGAGAAAGAAAGAAAGAAAAAGAAAGAAAGAAAGAAAGAAAGAAAGAGAAAGAAAGAAAGAAAGAAAGAAAGAGAAAGAGAAAGAAAGAAAAGAAAGAAAGAAAGAAAGAAAGAAAGAAAGAGAAAGAAAGAAAGAAAGAAAGAAAGAAAGAAAGAAAGAAAGAAAGAAAGAAAGAAAAAGAAAGGAAAGAAAGAAAGAAAAGAAAGAGAAAGAAAGTCACCAAAAATTGCAATATCTCACACTAAATATGCCAAAAGAAATGAAGATCTTTCGGCAATCACAGTGGTTGGCTTTCCCAACTCTATCCAGGTTTCAAACCATAGGTCTGCAATAAACCATATGTTCTACAGTATCTTGGATACTTATACTGCTTGAACCAGTATGGAGCATGTGCTTGATTAATAACTAACAAATATTATACTTGATAAATATTAATGGATAGGGTGCAATTAAAGCTTGTATATACCAAGTAATTGTTTTTTAATGCACAGAGTAAAACATAATTTAAAGGTCAATAAATATTACTTATCTAAATTCAGCATTTGCTTTCTTCTAATACAATTATAATATGTTGCTAAAATGAAATTTGTTATATTGCTAAAATAAAACTGGTTTTTGTTGTAAGGACTTTGGCTTTTATTCTGGATGAAATGGAAAGCATTGGAGAGTTTGGAGCCAAGTAATGATATTATCTGGTAAATATTTTTTCACCATGGCCACTACATTGAGGATAGACCAAAGGAAGCAAAAGTAGAAGTAGAGAGACAAGTTAGGAGGCTATTGAAACGATCTGGGAAAAAGATGATCTTGACTTGGACCAGGGATGAAGTGAAAGAATTAAAACGTAGTTAAACCAAGGGTGAACCCTAATGTAAATTATGGACTTTGCATGATAATGGTGTGTCAATGTAAGTTCATCAGTTGTAACAAATGCACCACTCTGGTAGTGGATGTTGATAATGGGGGAGCTATGCAGTTGTGGGAGCTGGGAGTATATGAGAAATCCCTCCACCTTCCATTCAGTTTTGCTGTAAACCTAAAACCACTTTAAATTTTTTAAAAAGTGGTTAGACTCTGCACACATACTTTGCAGATAGCAGTAAAATATTTGCTCAGAGAGAAGACATAGATCAAAAGAGAGAGAGGAGCTCAAGCTGGCTCTGAGGACTTTGAACACACAGGAAGATTGAAATTGAGGTGTCTGGTAGGCATCAAGTAGACTGAGAAGGCAGTTGGACATACAGGTCTGGAGTCCAGGGGGCCGCTAGCAACTGTAAGAACTGCTGAATGTGACAGATCTGTGAAGTCTCACCCTTCTGGAAAGTTTACCAACATGCCTGGGGCCAAGGTCATTCCATACATCTAGAAAGCTTATACAATTGGTTAAAACATGGAGATGCGGGTGGATACTATATTCACCTTAAACTATAATGACTGTCAATTCAAGTCCTAATTCAACTGTTACCTAATGTATTCGTGTTCAGGAACCTCAAAACAGGAAAGCAAAAGAGAGCATGTATTTATTTCCTTACTTATTCATTTATTTTTAATTGACAAATTAAAATTGTATGTATTTATCATGTACAACAAGATAAATACTGTTTTAAAATGTGTAGATTGTGAAATGGCTAAATTGAGCTAATTAACATCTGCATTACTTCCCATACTTAACATTTGTGGGTTGAGAACACTTAAAATCTATCATCTCAGCGATTTTCAAGAATACAATGAGAGCAGACATTTTTACACAGTTATATTCCTTCTGACATCTTGTGGGATTTTCTGGAAGTATATAAAATGGCAAATACATTTGAGGTAATTCCATTGTATTTTAACAATATTTATTGAGCATTTGTGATGGGATGGTTGCCAAGAGACCTACAAATTAAATAGAAATCCCATAAATTTTGCAAAAATATAAAATATTATGGCTCTCAAGATACCTACAGTCTAAAGGGGAAATATACACAAAATAAGGAGATATGCTTCAAAGGCAGTGGTTTTTAACTTCAATGTGCATAAGCATCTCTGCATCCAACCCCAGAGATTCTTTTGGTGAATCCGGAGAGAGGCCTAGTAATTTAACAAAATTCCATGTGATTCTAATGAAGATGGTCTGTGGCTCTGTATAATAAGACCAACTTTCAAATGTATCCAATGAAAACTATCCTTATTAATTTATAATGTTATATGTCTAACCCAGATATAAAGTGGGGGTACCTTATATCTGAGATCTCAGTAAGGTTGGCTCAAATTCCAAAGCCTAGCCCTGTGAAAGTCTAAGACCCTCTTAAAGATCTCCATATATTCTGAGGAGTAAATTTTCGCTCTTATGCTCAATTCTGCCTCTCAGAAATCTGCCTTTATCTGTAGATGACCCTTGAACAACAGGGGTTTGAATTGCGCTGGTTCAATTACAGGTAGATTTTCTTTTGCCTTTGCCACCCCTAAGACAGTAAGATACCAACTCCTCTTTTTCTTCCTTCTCCTCGGCCTACTCAATATGAAGACAGCAAGGATGAAGACATTTATGATGATCTACTTCCAGTTAATGCACAGTAAATATATTTTCCTTACAATTTTCTTAATAATATTTTCTTTTCTCCAGCTTACTTTACTGTAAGAATGCAATATATGGCCGGGCGCGGTGGCTCACGCCTGTAATCCCAGCACTTTGGGAGGCCGAGGCGGGCGGATCACGAGGTCAGGAGATCGAGACCATCCTGGCTAACACGGTGAAACCCCGTCTCTACTAAAAATACAAAAAAAAATTATCCGGGCATGGTGGCAGACGCCTGTGGCCCCAGCTACTCAGGAGTCTGAGGCAGAAGAATGGCGTGAACCCGGGAGGCAGAGCTTGCAGTAAGCCGAGATCGTACCACTGCACTCCAACCTGGGTGACAGAGCGAGACTCCGTCGCGAAAAAAAAAAAAATGCAATATATAATAGATATAATATCCAAAATATGCGTTAATCAACTATATGTTTGGTAAGACTTCCAGTCAAAGGTTGGTTATTAGTATTTAAGTTTGGGGAGCTTTAAAATTTACATTCGGATTTTGACTGTGGTGGGAGTTGGCATCCCTAACCCTTGTTTTGTTCAAGGATTAATTGTATACTGTGTCTTTTCTGCACAGTTTTTACAAAAATGTGAGCCTCCCTCCTGTATCACCCTGTCATACACACACACACACACACACACACACACACACACACACACACACACACAGTGTTAAAAGGCAGAATAGACATTACTAAACTATTGGGGGAAATGTTGACACAAAAAAGAGTGAACTGTAAAAATAGTATTAGCTTCCAATTCAGCATTAGATATTGCATCCGCAAATCAGAAATTGGCTCCAAGCTTTACTAGAATTACATGATGCAATAGCTCTAAACCAGAAGTGAGTAATATTTTAAATTAATGTTTTATGGAGATATAGAAATATCAGGTTATTCTCTGGAATTATCTCTTATTAAGCTAATAGAAACAGAAATTACTGTGACTCCTTGGTCTTGAAGGACAGGTGACATTTTAGGACTTTTCTATTCTTCAGCATCTATGAATCTATGGGTAGTTACTACTGTTTGCTTAGAACTTTTCTCTAAGGCTCCCTAAAACAATATATTTACATATGATATGCACTCAGCTTGAAACCTGCAGTAGTAAGCAGTTCATTTAAAATTTGGGGACCTAAGAGACTAAACAGGAAGTCAGAGGAGCCGTATGCTATGGAACTGCTAAACCAACAAAGGATAAATTCAGGAGCTTGTCGGAGAACTCTGTACATACAATACCCATTCCAGCCTAATTTACAGTACCCAGGGCAAGGGAGAAAAGGTCTCCAGGCTCCTTTCTTTGGTATGGATATAGCCTCACCCTGATACAAAAAGCAATATAAAGTTATACTGCACATAAAAATATAAACACACCAACTACATAATCAAATTCAGTTATACATCAGTGATCTACACAATGTGCTGATGTGTTATTATTCTTGAAATGATTAGTCAAATCGGAAGAGAGAGAATCCTTGGGAAGAGCTCCAGAGAGGAACAGAAATCCGAAGCAGAGAAAGGATGGGCATATATTTATAAGGAGAAATGGAGACTAAAACTGGAAGTTGATGATACACTGGTGAAGAATGACAGGGATATTTACCTGATTGAAGCAGCATGCCCACCTGTGCGTTATTGACAATGAGGTTGGATAATTTGTATAGATGCAAGTGGTTCTTCAAGAATGTTAGAGGTTTCATTTCAAGCACATAATTAGGAGATGGAAGATGATCATTTCAGAGCTTGGGGAGGATTCAATTCAAAATTTAAAAGGGAATAACTTAATTTCTAAAAGAAAGTTGCATTGTGTTGTAAAGGTGGACTAGCGGAATACGCTAGTGCCTCGATAAGCCTCATGAACAATAAATGAATACACAATTATTATAGTTGTCCATATACCGATAATAGCTAATGTCTACTGAGAGTGTATTATGTGCCAGGCAAAGTTATAAATAGCTTTACATGTATCATCTTACTTATTTCCCTCTACGACCTGTTCAGATAGGCAACATTATTGTAACTGTTTTACTGACGAGCAAATTGAGGCACAAGGTCATTAAATTACATGCCAAAGTTTGCATAGTAAATGAAAGAACTGGGATTTGAACCCAAACAGTCTGGCTTGTAAGTCTGATCGATTAGCTACTATAACTCGCTGCAGGGTGCATAGCAAAATATAAAGAGATGAAAAAAAAATAGAGCTCATAAGCATTACCCAGCAAGAACTGTAAATATTTAGGGGTCAAATGAGAGAAAGGAGCTGAAGATGACTCCAAAGTTTCCCTTGTAAAGAACAGGAAAGACTGATAGTGTGTTTGATTACTATTTAAGTTTTAAAAGAGTATTAGTGACACAATAATAGAGATAGCTGATGATGTATTTGCCAATCAATAGATGAAGATCATTTCTTTTAATGTAAAAAATTTTCCACATTGAGAAAAAAAATAGATGAGATGATTGTGCCTCTTAGTAGGTATATTTAAAGTACTGCAGCTATTTTTCATGTGAGATAATACTCTGTATTTATGTAACACACTTTTTCTAAGGAGCTCAAAGCATTTTACCACAATGCATTACCTTATTCATCCTCATAACATCCCCTTTTAAGAAAGGAAGTGTCAAGTATAATGACCACAATTTTACAGATGGGAACACTAAGACAAATGAAGTTTCTGACTTGCCAAGATCACAGACAACCCTGTAGCAAAACTAAGTACAGAATTTGTGTTTTCTGAAATTTAAAATTCTTTCCAATCTCTTCTCAATGGTATATCTTAAATTTGCCTTAACGTTTAGCATTACTTTATCTATAAATTCACATATTTGGAATCATGTTATAATCTCATATTATCTGAGTAGTGTGCATCATGAATTTGGTGATTAAATTGAATAACTCTATAAAATGTGAAAAATCAATGCTTCATCCTTTTAAAAAATCAAAACTTTCCTTCTCAATTAGGCATTTAATATGCCTGGTTTAAACTCTAAAGAAGTTTTGATACATATTAGAACCCTTTCTGAGAAAATGCTGTCTTTTTCTTGAAGAAATTTTGGTATTTGGAAGCCCCAAATTATCAATAAGTAATAAAGATAAGATGATACACACAAACACACATACATACACACACACACACACACACACACACACACTGGTAATTGAGCAAAAAATTCAGTGGTTTATTTAAAGGAACTTCCATATTTTCTCCAGATATAGGAGGACAAACAACAATGCCCTTAAATCTTAGGAAAAATTTTTTAACTAAAAAATTATGTTACAGTACACTTCTATATCAATGAAGATTTCTATCTCTTTTAAAATTTACCTCACTATGAATATAATGCAAAAGTAATGGGTAATCATATATTTAGATGTTGAAGTCTTAAAAAAAAGAGAGAAAAGAAAAAAGTGTCAACTTAATTTTTTTAAAGCTGATAGAATATTTTCATTTTCAAAGTCCTTTAAAAAAAAATCCTTACATACACTAGTGAGTGGTAAACATGGTATCTGGTTCAAGGTGAACTACATCCAGCAAGACAATCTAAGATCAAAGGCTCAGTCATTGGTTTACACAATTTAAGGCAGCTATGCATTTTACTTTTCCTTCCTCAGTTGCAAAAGCTCTACCCTTGAGATGTGTTAGGGCTTTATTTCTTTTCTTTTCTTTTCTTTTTTAACCAGTAAATAATAAGTGTACATATTCATAGTGTACATAAAGATGTTTTGATACATGTAATGTAAAGAGATCAGATCTCTAGCAGTTCAAAAATGAACTGGAATAGCTTTTTCAGCAACAACCTATGAAAAGAACAAAAATGATGAAAAACAGATGATGTACAACTATATGCTGAAAATTATATCAAACCAGATTCACCATTATCCCCAAAGACAAAGGATTATTTGGGGAGCTAAGTTGTATTTCAGGTTTATACCATCTTCTATAACAAGCACAAGGCCCTATAGATAAACACCTCATATTTTTTTCTACTGTAAGACTGACATTAGGAACTTCAATTAACATTTCTGACTAATGGCCAACCATTTCCTAAATCACAATAAAAATTCTAAATAATCAATGTGAGTTTTCTGAACGAATCAAATTATTATTACATGCTTTGGGTTTTATAAAATGCCAAAATCGATAGTCTCAAAATTAACCCTACATAATAGGAACTCCTTCTAACAACACAAATGACAAAATGTAAATTCACTTATTTATCCAACAAATGTGTTGAACACTTGCTACATGTCAAGCATTGTTGAGAGCAATGAGGATAAAGCAATGAACAAAAACAAAGTCACTAATATCTTGGTGCTCACACTCCAGAGAATGAAGATAGAAAATAATTAACAATTAAGTAGGAGGAGGAGCCAAGATGGCCTAATAGGAACAGCTCCGGTCTACAGCTCCCAGCGTGAGTGACGCAGAAGACGGGTGATTTCTGCATTTCCATCTGAGGTACCGGGTTCATCTCACTACAGAGTGCCAGACAGTGGGCGCAGGTCAGTGGGTGCAGCGCACCAAGCGCCAGCCGAAGCAGGGCGAGGCATTGCCTCACTCGGGAAGCGCAAGGGGTCAGGGAGTTCCCTTTCCTAGTCAAAGAAAGGGGTGACAGACGGCACCTGGAAAATCGGGTCACTCCCACCCGAACACTGCGCTTTTCCGATGGGCTTAAAAAACGGCACACTACGAGATTATATCCCGTACCTGGCTCGGAGGGTCCTACGCCCACGGAGTCTCGCTGATTGCTAGCACAGCAGTCTGAGATCAAACTGCAAGGCAGCAGCGGCAGCGAGGCTGGGGGAGGGGCGCCCGCCATTGCCCAGGCTTGCCTAGGTAAACAAAGCAGCCAGGAAGCTCGAACTGGGTGAAGCCCACCACATCTCAAGGAGGCCTGCCTGCCTCTGTAGGCTCCACCTCTGGGGGCAGGGCACAGACAAACAAAAAGACAGCAGTAACCTCTGCAGACTTAAATGTCCCTGTCTGACAGCTTTGAAGAGAGCAGTGGTTCTCCCAGTACGCAGCTGGAGATCTGAGAACGGGCAGACTGCCTCCTCAAGTGGGTCCCTGACCCCTGACCCCCGAGCAGCCTAACTGGGAGGCACCCCCCAGCAGGGGCAGACTGACACCTCACATGGCTGGGTACTCCAACAGACCTGCAGCTGAGGGTCCTGTCTGTTAGAAGGAAAACTAACAAACAGAAAGGACATCCACACCAAAAACCCATCTGTACATCACCATGATCAAAGACCAAAAGTAGATAAAACCACAAAGATGGGGAAAAAAACAGCAGAAAAACTGGAAACTCTAAAAAGCAGAGCGCCTCTCCTCCTCCAAAGGAACGCAGTTCCTCACCAGCAACGGAACAAAGCTGGACGGAGAATGACTTTGACGAGCTGAGAGAAGAAGGCTTCAGACGATCAAATTACTCCGAGCCACAGGAGGACATTCAAACCAAAGGCAAAGAAGTTGAAAACTTCGAAAAAAATTTAGAAAAATGTAGAACTAGAATAACCAATATAGAGAAGAGCTTAAAGGAGCTGATGGAGCTGAAAACCAAGGCTCGAGAACTACGTGAAGAATGCAAAAGCCTCAGGAGCCGATGTGATCAACTGGAAGAAAGGGTATCAGCGATGGAAGATGAAATGAATGAAATGAAGTGAGAAGGGAAGTTTAGAGAAAAAAGAATAAAAAGAAATGAGCAAAGCCTCCAAGAAATATGGGACTATGTGAAAAGACCAAATCTACGTCTGATTGGTGTACCTGAAAGGGACGGGGAGAATGGAACCAAGTTGGAAAACACTCTGCAGTAGATTATCCAGGAGAACTTCCCCAGTCTAGCAAGGCAGGCCAACATTCACATTCAGGAAATACAGAGAATGCCACAGAGATACTCCTCGAGAAGAGCAACACCAAGACACATAATTGTCAGATTCACCAAAGTTGAAATGAAGGAAAAAATGTTAAGGGCAGCCAGAGAGAAAGGTCGGGTTACCCTCAAAGGGAAGCCTATCAGACTAACAGCGGATCTCTCGGCAGAAACTCTACAAGCCAGAAGAGGGTCGGGGCCAATATTCAACATTCTTAAAAAACAGAATTTTCAACCCAGAATTTCATATCCAGCCAAACTAAGCTTTGTAAGCAAAGGAGAAATAAAATCCTTTACAGACAAGCAAATCCTGAGAGATTTTCTCACCACCAGGCCTGCCCTAAAAGAGCTCCTGAAGGAAGCACTAAACATGGAAAGGAAAAACCGATACCAGCTGCTGCAAAATCATGCCAAAATGTAAAGACCATTGAGACTAGGAAGAAACTGCATCAACTAATGAGCAAAATAACCAGCTAACGTCATAATGACAGGATCAAATTCACACATAACAATATTAACTTTAAATGTAAATGGACTAAATGCTCCAATTAAAAGACACAGACTGGCAAATTGGATAAAGAGTCAAGACCCATCAGTGTGATGTATTCAGGAAACCCATCTCACGTGCAGAGACACACATAGACTCAAAATAAAAGGATGGAGGAAGATCTACCAAGCAAATGGAAAACAAAAAAAGGCAGGGGTTGCACTCCTAGTCTCTGATAAAACAGACTTTAAACCAACAAAGATCAAAAGAGACAAAGAAGGCCATTACATAATGGTAAAGGGATCAATTCAACAAGAAGAGCTAACTATCCTAAATATATATGCACCCAATACAGGAGCACCAAGATTCATAAAGCAAGTCCTGAGTGACCTACAAAGAGACTTAGACTCCCACACATTAATAATGGGAGACTTTAACACCCCACTGTCAACATTAGACAGATCAACGAGACAGAAAGTCAACAAGGATACCCAGGAATTGAACTCAGCTCTGCACCAAGCAGACCTAACAGACATCTACAGAACTCTCTACCCCAAATCAACAGAATATACATTTTTTTCAGCACCACAGCACACCTATTCCAAAACTGACCACATACTTGGAAGTAAAGCTCTCCTCAGCAAATGTAAAAGAACAGAAATTATAACAAACTATCTCTCAGACCACAGTGCAATCAAACTATAACTCAGGATTAAGAATCTCACTCAAAACCGCTCAACTACATGGAAACTGAACAACCTGCTCCTGAATGACTACTGGGTACATAACGAAATGAAGGCAGAAATAAAGATGTTCTTTGAAACCAACGAGAACAAAGACACAACATACCAGAATCTCTGGGACACATTCAAAGCAGTGTGTAGAGGGAAATTTATAGCACTAAATGCCCACAAGAGAAAGCAGGAAAGATCCAAAATTAACACCCTAACATCACAATTAAAAGAACTAGAAAAGCAAGAGCAAACACATTCAAAAGCTAGCAGAAGGCAAGAAATAACTAAAATCAGAGCAGAACTGAAGGAAATAGAGACACAAAAAAACCCTTCAAAAAATTAATGAATCCAGGAGCTGGTTTTTTGAAAGGATCAACAAAATTGACAGACCGCTAGCAAGACTAATAAAGAAAAAAAGAGAGAAGAGTCAAATAGACGCAATAAAAAATGATAAAGGGGATATCACCACCGATCCCACAGAAATACAAACTACCATCAGAGAATACTACAAACACCTCTACGCAAATAAACTAGAAAATCTAGAAGAAATGGATAAATTCCTCGACACATACACTCTCCCAAGACTAAACCAGGAAGAAGTTGAATCTCTGAATAGACCAATAACAGGATCTGAAATTGTGGCAATAATCAATAGCTTACCAACCAAAAAGAGTCCAGGACCAGATGGATTCACAGCCGAATTCTACCAGAGGTACAAGGAGGAGCTGGTACCATTCCTTCTGAAACTATTCCAATCAATAGAAAAAGAGGGAATCCTCCCTAACTCATTTTATGAGGCCAGCATCATCCTGATACCAAAGCCGGGCAGAGACACAACCAAAAAAAAGAATTTTAGACCAATATCCTTGATGAACATTGATGCAAAAATCCTCAATAAAATACTGGCAAACCGAATCCAGCAGCACATCAAAAAGCTTATCCACCATGATCAAGTGGGCTTCATCCCTGGGATGCAAGGCTGGTTCAATATATGCAAATCAATAAATGTAATCCAGCATATAAACAGAACCAAAGACAAAAACCACATGATTATCTCAATAGATGCAGAAAAGGCCTTTGACAAAATTCAACAACCCTTCATGCTAAAAACTCTCAATAAATTAGGTATTGATGGGACGTATTTCAAAATAATAAGAGCTATCTATGAAAAATCCACAGCCAATATCATACTGAATGGGCAAAAACTGAAAGCATTCCCTTTGAAAACTGGCACAAGACAGGGATGCCCTCTCTCACCACTCCTATTCAACATAGTGTTGGAAGTTCTCGCCAGGGCAATTAGGCAGGAGAAGGAAATAAAGGGTATTCAATTAGGAAAAGAGGAAGTCAAATTATCCCTGTTTGCAGATGACATGATTGTATATCTAGAAAACCCCATTGTCTCAGCCCAAAATCTCCTTAAGCTGATAAGCAACCTCAGCAAAGTCTCAGGATACAAAATCAATGTAGAAAAATCACAAGCATTCTTATACACCAACAACAGACAAACAGAGAGCCAAATCATGAGTGAACTCCCATTCACAATTGCTTCAAAGAGAATAAAATACCTAGGAATCCAACTTACAAGGGATGTAAGGACCTCTTCAAGGAGAACTACAAACCACTGCTCAAGGAAATAAAAGAGGATACAAACAAATGGAAGAACATTCCATGCTCATGAGTAGGAAGAATCAATATCGTGAAAATGGCCATACTGCCCAAGGTAATTTACAAATTCAGTGCCATCCCCATCAAGCTACCAATGACTTTCTTCACAAAATTGGAAAAAACTACTTTAAAGTTCATATGGAACCAAAAAAGAGCCCGCATCGCCAAGTCAATCCTAAGCCAAAAGAACAAAGCTGGAGGCATCACACTACCTGACTTCAAACTATACTACAAGGCTACGGTAACCAAAACAGCATGGTACTGTTACCAAAACAGAGATATAGATCAATAGAACAGAACAGAGCCCTCAGAAATAATGCCACATATCTACAACTATCTGATCTTTGACAAATCCGAGAAAACCAAGCAATGGGGAAAGGATTCCCTATTTAATAAATGGTGCTGGGAAAACTGGCTAGCCATATGTAGAAAGCTGAAACTGGATCCCTTCCTTACACCTTATACAAAAATCAATTCAAGATGGATTAAAGACTTAAACGTTAGACCTAAAACCATAAAAACCCTAGAAGAAAACCTAGGCATTACCATTCAGGACATAGGCATGGGCAAGGACTTCATGTCTAAAACACCAAAAGCAATGGCAACAAAAGCCAAAATTGACAAATGGGATCTAATTAAACTAAAGAGCTTCTGCACAGCAAAAGAAACTACCATCAGAGTGAACAGGCAACCCACAAAATGGGAGAAAATTTTCACAACCTACTCATCTGACAAAGGGCTAATATCCAGAATCTACAATGAACTCAAACAAATTTACAAGAAAAAAACAAACAACCCCATCAAAAAGTGGGCGAAGGACATGAATAGACACTTCTCAAAAGAAGCCATTTATGCAGCCAAAAAACACATGAGAAAATGCTCACCATCACTGGCCATCAGAGAAATGCAAATCAAAACCACAATGAGATACCATCTCACACCAGTTAGAATGGCAATCATTAAAAGGTCAGGAAACAACAGGTGCTGGAGAGGATGTGGAGAAATAGGAACACTTTTACACTGTTGGTGGGACTGTAAACTAGTTCAACCATTGTGGAAGTCAGTGTGGCGATTCCTCAGGGATCTAGAACTAGAAATACCATTTGACCCAGCCATCCCATTACTGGGTGTATACTCAAAGGACTATAAATCATGCTGCTATAAAGACACATGCACACGTATGTTTATTGCAGCATTATTCACAACAGCAAAGACTTGGAACCAACCCAAATGTCCAACAATGATAGACTGGATTAAGAAAATATGGCACATATACACCACGGAATACTATGCAGCCATAAAAAAGGATGAGTTTATGTCCTTTGTAGGGACATGGATGAAATTGGAAATCATCATTCTCAGTAAACTATCACAAGAACAAAAAACCAAACACCGCATATTCTCACTCATAGGTGGGAATTGAACAATGAGAACACATGGACACAGGAAGGGGAACATCACACTCTGGGGACTGTTGTGGGGTGGGGGGAGGGGGGAGGGATAGCATTGGGAGATATACCTAATGCTAGATGACGAGTTAGTGGGTGCAGCGCACCAGCATGGCGCATGTATACATATGTAACTAACCTGCACATTGTGCACATGTACCCTAAAACTTAAAGTATAATAATAATATTAAAAAACAGACTATTAAACAGACTATTAGTATTTTAGTTTCTTTTGTTATCTAACAAAAATATCAAATAAAATTACTACTTTTCAATTTCAAAAAAAAAAAGAAAATAATTAACAAGTAATAATAATATGTAATGTGTCTAGTGGTGATAATAGTTGAAAAGAAAAGCACATGGCTAAGGAATCAGGGTGGCAGAGGATGGAAACGGATATTACATCCTCGTGTTGCTTGAATTAGGTCAAATCTGGAAACATTCTAAGGAAACCTAAGTTATTCGAAGAAAAATTTTGTATTATACCTTGCTCTATTAGACAGCTCAGGAAAATACAGAATAGTTGGAAAAACACAACTGTTCTGCCATGTTGTTTGCTTCTGGAATTTCTTCCCCATGAAGATGATAACCATTCTGTCTTTTCATTCATTCTATAAAAGCTTATTGAGGACCTACTATAGTTGAGACCTATGTACAAGGCCATATGTTCAGGACTGTGTATGTTGAATGAGATCCAGATTTTGTCCTCAAGGCAATTGTACTTTCATGGGAAAAAAAAAAAAAAGAAAACACACAACTAATTTGATCTAGATATGTGACATAAATGCTACAAGAAATATAAAGAATTGAATAATTAATCTCACCTGAAGCATTCAAGAAAAGCTTCCGAGAGAAAGTGACATCTGCATGGGGCCATGGAAGATGAGAAGGATTTAGGCCAAATAAACAGCACGAGCAGAGGTGTGAGAAAGGCTGTGTGGCCCTCGGGGGGACCGGAAGCGCTGGAAGTAGCTGGAGATGGGCCTGAGAAAGTAAGTTGAGGACAGATCCTGAAAGCACTCAAATGAACCAATTTAAACTTTGTCCAGTTGGCAATTGGTGATCCACTGAATATTTTTGAGCCAACAAAAGACACTAAGAAAGATGTCTCTGGCAGCAAGGCAGTAGAGGCATAGAAGAAAGAAAACAACACAGTGAAATAGAGTGTTAGCTCTTGCATGGGAAATGATAAGGGACTAAATGGAAACAGTGGAAATAGGAATCGAAAGGATGGAATGACTGAGACAGACGTTTTTACTTGGCAACCAGCTGATGACAAACATAGAACAGGGGGAAAGTCTTTTTATACATGCAACAAAATATTCCAAATCAGAAGTGGAAACAAGTAAGCACCTCAAATTTTTTCTGGAATCAATTCAAATATAAACACACTGCTTGGAAAGCCAATATAGCTTTCCACTTAATGAAGTATATATTGAGATCCTAATGGGATCAACCAGTGTTAAGATCCAACACTGGTAACCTCTGTTTGGAATGAAAATATAAAGCCTTAAGCCAACCATTTTCTCCAAAATAAAAGATAACAAACTGCTGAAGTCAGTATATAATGCAGATATTAATTATGTAGCACAATCTAAAAATGTTATGGGGCACTCGTGATTAACATGAGCTCTTGAATAATTGGCAGACACTACATTCGCCCATCTTAGATTTAATATCTTTGACTTTTCTGTTCATGGAAATAGATGGGGAGTCAAATGACAGGATCGGTCTTTCCACTTGCCTGAAAACAACTACTCACAATCAAGAATCATTTTCTCTCTAGTTTCAAATTCTCAGAAACAATAGGTACTTTTAACTCCCTATTAGAAGAGTTTTCCAAAAACTAATGATTTTCAATGTCAAAGAGTTCTTCTGCCTAAATTACTCCTGGTAACTTACTCTTTTATATCATTTTAAATAATTCCACTATCACCTTTTTAACTTTCAAATATTTGTAGAACCTTATAGTATACTCCGTAGTCATTACTTGCCAAGCTATATATTTGTCTACTTAAATCTTTACTTATAACTTAATCCTTTCCTTCTCTTAATCATCACAATTGTTTCTCCTGGCCTAGCTCCAATTTTTCTTCAAATTATTGGTACTGGAATGCCTAAAGTCTAACAAAGTATTTTAGGCTTAGATTGTATCTGGATATTTCCTTTTTATTTATTTATCATTTTGCCTATTTATATGATTTGTTGTGTACTGTTGCCCCTATATGCACTTGACCAGGGATAAATATACTTCATGACTCTCAAATTTGATAAAGATGTTCATTTCTATACAGCACTTATTATTATGAGCCTAAAAACATCCACCATCTGCTTTAGTGAAGTAAGTTATTTGAACTTATTTTGTTTTTGTTTTCCTTCAATTTTCATTTTAGCATCATATTTTCCTTCTTGGTCTTTGTACAAATTGACTCAACTGAATTATTTTATTTCCTAAAGTCTGTATCACCTGGTAGAAATGCATATGTTCCCAAAATTACTTTCTATGTTTCTCCTTTCATAGTGTATTCTGCCTAAATTAATATATTTTGTCTGTTATGCTAGTTATTGTGGTTTAAGTAATAATAGTATTTATTCAAGTTTTTAAAAAATATTCAGATCTATTGCCAGTATTATTATTAATATATGCTATTATTTCAAATAGCAACCTATGCAAAGATGAAGACAGCATTTTCAGAAGGAATTTTTTAAAAGAAAAGAAGCAGACTTTATTCACATAGTAAAACTTTCAAACTTTCTTTATTGTTTTTCTTTCCATTTTCTCTATCAGAAATTTCATGTATGTTAATGCATATTTCTAAAATTGCTAGCCATTTGATAGTAGTAAATTTCAGAAATCAGTTAGCCAATTGGTAAAATTTGAATTGAATAAGCTCTGTAAATTAGATAATAGTGCTGTATCAACCATTAACTTCCTGATTGTGCTAATATACTGTGACTATATAAGTTAATGTTTTTGTTTTTAGGAAATACATACAGAAGCATTTAGGGAGAAAGAGGTATTATGCCCACAACTTATTCCCAAATGGTTTTGAATAAAACACACACATACATATATGTAGAGAGAGAGAGATGTAAAAAAAAAAAAAGGGACAGGCCAGTCATGGTGGCTCACGCCTGTAATCCCAGCACTTTGGGAGGCTGAGGTGGGCAGATCATGAGGCCAAGAGATCAAGACCACCCTGGCCAACATGGTGAAACCCCGTCTCTACTAAAAATACAAAAATTAGCTGGTCGTGATGGCACGCGCCTGCAGCCCCAGCTACTCAGGAGGCTAAGGCAGGAGAATCGCTTGAGCCCAGGAGGCAGAGGTTGCAGTGAGCTGAGATGGCGCCACTGAACTCCAGCCTGGCGACAGAGTGAGACTCCATCTCAAAAAAAAAAAAAAAAGAAAAGAAAAAAAAAAGAAAGAGACAGGGAAAGGAGAGAATGATTAAGCAAATGCAGAAAAATGTGAACATTACGGAAATATGAGAATTCTTTGTACTAATGTATGCAACTTTTCTGCAAGTCTGAAATCATTTACTATTATTTCAAAGATAACTTTTTAAAATAGTTGTATTTTGTTGGTAAGTTATCATTTATAAAATGTTTTCATGTACTACGCTATCTCACTAAATCCTTCTCATAGCCTTTTTCTTTCTCTGTTTACTGAAAAAGAAAACAGGCTCAGAGAGTGTCAGAACTGGAAATGAACGACTTCTAACTTGAAGTACATGGTTCCACATACCACTATGATTCTCTTTAATTAAAAAAATACTCAAATCAATTGCCTTGGGGCATTTTAAGTGTTTTATGTCATTAAGAAACATTTTGTAAATAATTCTTCAAGTAAATGAATTCAGCCTTGTTTCTCCACAACCAAAGTCATCAAAGATTAAAAGCTTATCGAAATCCATGGAAACTATCACAGTCTCATTAGGTCCATCCACTCTGCTACTCATCTCCCCTCACTCTCATCCACATCCCCTTCCTGATCACTGTTTCATGGACTGGGATCACAAAGACGCAAACATACTCAGATTTTCCATGAAATCTAATCAAAAAGGAACTTGCAAGAAGAGTGAAATACAACAGGTCCTTGCATAATGTCATTTCCTCCAATGCTGTTTTGTTATAATCTTAATGAGGAAAAAAAAAATCAGTTTCCAACCAGGGCCACTGTCTGTGTGGAGTTTCACATTCTTCCAATGTCTGCATGGGTTTTTCTCTAGGTACTCCGGTTTCCTCCCACATCTCAAAGATGTGCCCATTAAGTGTACTGGCCTGTGTATCTGGTCGCAGTCTGAGTGAGTGTGGGTGTGTGCATGAGTGCACCTGCTGCAATGGGATGGTGTCCTGTCCAGGGCTGGTGCCCACCTTGTGCTCTGAGCTTATAGAATGGGCTCTGGTCACCTCCACCCTGAACTGGGGGTAAGCGGTTTGAAAAAGGAGTTAATGAATAAATAAAAATTATTATAAAATAAATATTCATCATGTTCACAGTAATCATACTAATGCACGACAATAAACAAGGTGATACGAAAGCACTCAGCGAGGCCTCCATGGCATATTAATGTTTGCTTGTGAATTGTGTAGAGGGAGGAGGTGCTCCTGACAATGTTCTCTTTTCAAACATTTTTTTCTTGTTTTAACCCACCACCAAGACCACCACCATCACTCACTGAGTCACCAAAACTGGGATAATTAATTATCTTACTTGCTTTTATTATCTTTTTAAAACATATGTATGGCTCACATATATTTCAATGTTTAATTTTAGAAGTGTTTTGGGTCTTTATTTAGAAGTTTGGTGATGTTTTTGTGACCAGAAATATGACGTAGCAACTTAACTCTTGTTATATCAATTAGCCTCTGGTAAGTAAGTCATTTTGCTTAAAATAGCAGTTTCCAAGTACCTATGGGCAACATTAAGTGAGGGCTTACCGTATATTAAATTGAGGAAGTGGCATTCTTCTGGTTTCTTTCTGACCCTAACATGACTGAATGGCATCCTACTTTCTTGAAAGAATAGGGACTGTCCCAAGAGTGATCCCATTCAGGCTACTTCATACCCTTTAATTAACTATGAACTTTAATGGCCTGAAAAAGTAACCACAACTCCACATGTCTCTCCAGGATTCATTTACACACTGGAAGAATACATATAAATAGATCTTTTACTCAGACTTACTGACTTTGGCATGTCTTGCCTTAGTTTCAATAATTATTTTCATCTCTTTTTCCTGAGTTTTTCCATACTTTTTCTTGAACAATTTAACCACTTCCCAATGATTTCTTTTCTTTTTTTTTTTCCTCTCTTTTTACCAAGTACACACTGATTTCAATAAGCTCAACTATCTTGGCATTTTACACACTGTAGAGGCAGAATAAATGACTAGTCCTGACAGATTAGATTTTATTACAAAGAAAACTACTTTTCTTCTGTTTAGAAACTACTCACCAGCTAACTAGTTAAAGCTCTTTCCTTTTCTGTCTGGAAAGATTGACCCTGAACTGACAACAAAAACGTAGGTGAGATATTTAGATCTTAAGTGAGTGGTCAGTTAAGTGCCTGGAGAGGTAAAAGGACAGATAGCATATTTGGTATGTTAATGAACCTATTTACTTCAAAGAAAGAGACAAAAACATCAATCAAATCAGAAGAGGCTATTTAGGACTGTTAACTCCCTTTCAGATGAGCAATGATTTCTACTGGGATTTAAATAAATATTCTTGAAAAGGACCAACGACAAAAATTTCACCAAAAATCACACCATAGTAAGTTTTCTACACAGCTGATGACCGACTTGCTTGGCTCCCAATTTTGCAAGAGTTTTGAATATTTGTAGCATGCTCCTCTTTAAAAGAAAAAAAAAATGAGATTGGCATTCTTTTTATACCTTAAACCTAAAATACCTTTACCAAAAATTATGTTCTTGTGGTATCTCTAATTCTCAAAAACTTGAACAGCATCTTCTCCAACCACAAAAATTGCACTATTGCTAATGCGTTGGTATTAATCAGAATGTACTTCAATTTAAAAAACAAAAAACTGGGGAAGAATAAGAAAAATAAGGAAGCAGTATAAAGTCATAATTTAAAGTTATATGTAAATTATGTAAAGAGAATTTTATTGAACAAGTTAAGGGTTGGGTGGCTTTTCCACGTTTACCACCACCTGGTGACAGCTCTGTGCAAGTTTATATAAATATCCCAAAATAAAATCCCATTAGTAAAGTCCAGTTCAATTCAGTTTATTGTAGTAAATATCTACTGAGCTACTACTATATTTTTAGGACTGCTGTAGACTGTTAAGAACAAAAGAATATTGCATGGGGACCTTATCTTAAAGGTGCTTGTAATTAAGATGGAAAGGCAAACAAATAAAAGAAGTAATTCTTAAGCAATATAGACTAACATTAAGTAAACACTAAATGTAACGGGAAAAGAAAGAAACCAAATGTAGGCCTAAAGTTTCAAGTGTCTAGATGAAGAGGAACTTGAGATAGAGTTTAGAACAATTAGAAGAAGCTAGATCATAAAGGTAAATTAAAATCAAGAGAATGTTAGACTTGTTGTAAGAGGTATTGGGAAGCCTAGAAACTTAGTCACATGATTAACGTAATAAAAATAGGATTTTAGGATGATTCATCCAGAAGTTTCCAGTGTGGACAAGACCAAACAGATGGAGACCGTTTCAGAACTAGTACTCCAACTATGAAATCCTGAGGTTTGCTTTTCAGAAGTTAGTTGTTAACTAATGATAGCATTATATAGTACTTCTCTATTTTTAATTCTCTACAAAAGAGTAAAGTTTCACCTCAATTAAATCCTCATGAAAATTAGTCTTGATAAGAATTCATATTCAACTAATTGAGTTCCTTCTAACTGGCAGTCACTGTGGTAGACACTTTCACATACATTATCACATTTAATTCTCATAGCAACTGCGTGAAGTTGTTTATCTAGAAATTCTAATTAATTATATTGTAATGAAAATGCAACTGCCAAATATTAATCAAGTATTCATTGAATTAATTAGACATATATTGTTTGATTTCTAATCCTATATTGCTCCACTGCCCAGATTCCAATTTTCCTTTTAATAGACATCAATAGCACAAAGTAACAAAAAGAGTATTCAATGTCAAATAATGCACATGAATAAAATGCCTTCGTGAAAACAGAAATATATTGGGGGATGGAAGACCCAAGTTACAAACTGAGCTCAACCTCAAGCAAATCGCTAAATTTTCTTGAGGCTTAGTTACTTTATCTGTCACATGAATTAATGATTTTCATCCAGTCTATCTTTTGGGGTTGTTGTACATGTGTGCAGGTCAAATAAAGTATAGGCAAAAGTTATTTACTAAACAGAAGGATGCAAATTAGAGGTGGGGTGCTGTGGCTCATATCTGTAATCCCAGCACTTTGGGAGGCTGAGGCAGGCAGATCACTTGAGCTCAGCCTGGGCAACATGGCGAAACCCCATCTCTACTAAAAATACAAAAATTAGTCGGGCATGGTGGCACGTCCTGTAATCCCAGCTACTTGGGAGGCTGAGGCACAGGAATCGCTTGAACCCGGAGGGAGATGTTGCAGTGAGCTGAGATTATGCCACTGCACTCCAGCCTGGGTGACGAAAGACTCTGTCTCAAAAAAGAAGAATGTAAATCAAAGGTGTTTAAAAGAAGGGAAAGAGGATATTTTTCTCTGGGTCCCTCTTCTTCTCCTTTCATTTTTGAAATATTTGCCTAAGAAGGCTCGGAGGATAAAGAGAGGTGACAGGAAGAGGGACTCTCAGCTTCCATCACCTGGGAGACCCTGTGGTCCTCATCAGTGTCCACCATCCATCCATGTTTTTCTTAGTGCCCCTAAGTCTATGCCCAGATACATCCTTGCACCTAAAACTGTCAACTTGCTATTAATGACTGTTTAATAGCAACTTGCTATTCATGATTGCTTAGTCATTAATAGCAAGTTGACAGTCACAGTTGCAGGTATGTATCACTATTATAACTCTTGGCTTTAGACTTTAGTCACTGAAACTTGTCAATGAATTGAGAAGTCCTTTAAAGAGGCAGAAGAACATAGATTGAACATATACCAGGATATTAACTGCAAATGTGAGCTGAGTTTACCTGTAGAGTCTACTTCTTTCAAAACAGCATCTTAAGAGAAAGCTATAGTCATTTGGAACAAAACCCACAAAGAGCTTACCTAACAGCTAATTGCACATGTCTATATCATTAAAAGTTAACCCAAGCATCACCACAGCGTGGATGTGATATTAAAGACCGACCCTTCATTTCTGGGAAACTAGCGAAGCACTAACCAGCAGAGGCTCAGGTTATATCTCTGTCCTTGAACCTGGTCCTTTTTTTTTTTTTTTTTTTTCCCAGAGACAGAGTCTTGCTCTGTCACCCAGGCTGGAGTGCAATGGTGTGATCTTGGCTCACTGCAATCTCCACCTCAGGGGTTCAAGCAATTCTCCTGCCTCAGCCTCCTGAGTAGCTGAGATTACAGGCGCCTGCCACCACACCTGACTAATGTTGGCCAGGGTGGTCTCAAACTCCTGACCTCTTGATCCACCCACCTCAGCCTCCCAAAGTGCTGGGATTACAGGCATGAGCCACCGCTCCCGGCCTGGTCCTCTTTTTCCAAGTCTTGCTCTTGCTTATTTACCTGGTACTGTTCCCTTCTTCATTTCATTCTGGACAGCTCACTTCCATCTTGATGCTGGCATGTTAAAATTGGGGAGGTGTTAGTCTTTCTATGTGCAATTGCTCACAAATTTTTCTCTCTGAATCACACAGAGTTACTAATTGTATTTCACTGTTACTTCCGTTCAAATTCAATCTAATGAATCTGTGCAGTACAAGAACTATAAAAGTTTCACCTCCCCCTGTTATTCTTTCGGTATAAATGCACATGAATGGCCCTTAAGATAACTTTTGGCCATCATGTCGCCGTGGTGAGAAACCTTGGGAGACCTCTGTAGCTTTAGGTATGGTAAGAAATATCTCATCTGAGGCTCTCGTCTACCACTCAAGGTTTCCATCCAAGACTGCATGCTCCCCCATTCCATACAAGGGTTACCCTGCACCTTCCAACTTGCTATGAGCTGCTAACCACTGAATGTTGCCTCAATTTGGCCTACAGCCAGGGTGAACTGTCCTATTTCACATGGATTGAACCATATAGAGGTTTTATGTATTTGGAACTGTGAAGCAGACCCCTTATCTTCCTCAACTTTATGTGAGCCCTCCCACTGTCACTATAACAAATGCCATTTATGAAGCCAACACCTATGGCACTGTGCTTAAACCTTCCAAATATGAGATTGAACAACATGGAATAATCATTTTATAGGCCAAATAGAAGCAATGTATTATGATCAATATAATTTCTTTTACTCAAAACCCTCAACAATCGTAAAAAGCAGACATAATCATGCCCATTTTAGAGCTGGAAAAACTAGAACCCAGATTGATAAGTAACTAGGCCATGATCACACATCTGGGGAAGTAGTGGAGCCCAGTTTAGAAATAACTACAGAGATTAAGATGACAGATAAGAGTTAGGACTAGCTTGCGGCTCCCCATCAGACAGAGAGAGCAGTGTGTGAAGACTCACACTGTGAACTTTTGCTTCAAGAACTACTGTAGGAACATACCAGGAAAGCCTAGAGAATCCACAGACCCTTTGAAGGAACTGGATCACTTCTGCAGGCTTCCTGAGATGCAAAAAAACTGTGAGTCTGCTTGCCTTCTCAGCAGGGAGGCTGGTGGTCTGGGGCAAGTTCTTAGCCCTGGTCACCAGCTGCCTGGAAATAGACTCAGTGCTGTTGGGAGGGCACAGTGGAAGTGATATTGGACTTTTAGGACTGTGGGTTCTGTGGGAGCAGGGTGAGGCCTGTGACTGCCAGCTTTCCCCGACTTCCCTGATGACCTGTACGACTCAACAGAGGCAGCCGTAATCCCCCTGGGAATATAACTCCACTGGACTGGGAGCCACACACCCATCCCCCACAACAGCCACAGCAAGACCCACCCAGGGAGATTCTGAGCTCAGACATGCCTAGCCCTGCCCCCACCTGGTGGTCTTTCTCTAGTTGCCTTGGTAGCCAAAAACAAAGGTCAATATCTCTTGGGAGCTCTATGGCCCTGTCCACCAACTGAGAAACCTGAATACTTAACCAGGTGTCCCTAGGGCAAGTTTGCATCCTCCCTATAGGACTGCAGCTGATGTGCTCTTGAAAGTGCCACCTCCTGGCTGGAGGCCAAACCAACACAAAACTGGACCACTGAACAAACACACAACCAAGGACCCACACAGAGTCCACTTCACTCCCTTGCTACCTCTACCAGAGCAGGTGCTAGTCTCCACGGCTGCAAGACCTGAAGACAGATCAAATCACAGAACTCTTTGCCATCACTACCCAGTGCCAGCTGGAAGCTCAGTAGCTCCACTGGGTGGCTAGACTTGCAAGAGCAAAACAATCACTGCAGGTCAGCTCTCAGGAAGCCCCATTCCTAGGAGAAGGGGAAGAGCACCACATTAGGGAGCACCCCATGGGACAAAATAATCTGAACAACAGCCCTTGAATCCCATATCTTCCCTCTGACATAGTCTACTCAAATGAGAAGGAACCAGAAAAACAATTCTAGTACAATGACAAAACACGGTTCTTTACCACCCCAAAAATATGATACCAGCTCACCAGCAATGGAACCAAACCAAGATAAAATCTCTGAATTGCCAGAAAAAGAATGCAGAAGATTGATTATTAAGCTAATCAAGGAGGCACCAGGGAAAGAGAAGCCCAACTTAAATCAAAAATATGCCTGGGTTCGGTGGCTTACGCCTGTAATCCCAGCACTTTGGGAGGCTGAGGCAGGTGGATCACTTGAGGTCAGGAGTTCAAGACCAGCCTGGCCAACATGGTGAAACTCCAACTCTACTAAAAATACAAAAATTAGCTGGGTGTGGTGGTACGCACCTGTAGTCCAAGCTATTCAGGAGGCTGAGGCAGGAGAATCACTTGAACCAGGGAAGTGGAGGTTGCAGTAAGCCAAGATTATGACACTGCACTCCAGCCTGGGTGATAGAGCGATACTTCATCTCATAAAAAAAAATCAAAAACATGATACAGGATATGCAATGAAAATTCTTCAGTGAAATAGGTAGCATAAATAAAAAACAATCACAACTTCTGGAAATCAAGAACACACTTAGAGAAATGCAAAACGCACTGGAAAGTCTCAGCAATCGAATGTAACAAATGGAAGAAAGAACTTCTGAGCTCAAAGACAAGATTTTCAAATTAACCCAATCCATCAAAGACAGAGAAAAAAGAATTTTAAAAAATGAACAAAGCCTCCAAGAAATTGGGAACTATGTTAAAGGTCCAAATCTAAGAATAATTGATGTTCCCAAGGAAGAAGAGAAATCTAAAAGTTTGGAAAACATATTTGAGGGAATAATTGAGGAAAACATCCCTGGCTTTCCAGAGATCTAGATATGCAAATACAAGAAGCTCAAAGAAGACCTGGGAAATTCATCACAAAAAAGATCATTGCCTGGGCAAATAGTCGTCAGGTTATCTAAAGTCAAGACAAAGGAAAGAATCTTAAAAGCTGTGAGGCAAAAGCATCAAGTAACCTGTAAAAGAAAACCTATCAGATTAATAGCAGATTTCTAAGCAGAAACCCTACAAGCTAAAAGGGATTGGGGTCCTAACATTAGCCTCCTTAAACAAAACAATTATCAGCCAAGAATTTTGCATTCAGCGAAACTAAGCTTCCAAAATGAAGAAAAGATAGTCTTTTTCAGACAAAGTCTGAGAGAATTCACCACTACCAAGCCAGCGCTACAAAAACTGCTAAAAGGAGCTCTAAATCTTGAAACAAATCCTTGAAATACACCAAAATAGATTTATGCTCCTTAAAGCATAAATCTCACAGGGCCCATAAAACAGTAACACAATGAAAAAAAAATAATAATAAAACAAGGTATTCAGGCAACAAATAGTACAATGAATAGAATAGTATCTCACATCTCATTACTAACATTGAATGTAAATGGCCTAAATGCTCCACTTAAAATATACAGAATGGCAGAATGGTTAAGAATTCACCAACCAGGTATCTATCTGCTGTTTTCAAGAGACTTGCCTGACACATAAGGACTCCAATAAACTTAAGGTGAAGGGTTGGAAAAATATATTCCATGCAAAAGTGAGCAGGAGTAGCTATTCTTATATCAGACAAAACAAACTTTAAAGCAATGGCAGTTAAAAAGGACACAGAGGGACATTATATAATGACAAAAGGACTAATCCAACAGGACAGTATCACAATTCTAAACATATATGCACCTAACACTGGAGCACCCAAATTTATAAAACAATTACTACGGCAACACAATAAGAGTGGGGACTTTAATACTCCACTGACAGCACTAGGCAGGTCATCAAGACAGAAAGTCAACAAAGAAACAATGGACTTAAACTATATCCTACAACAAATGGACAACAGATATGTATAGAACATTTTACACAACAACTGCAGAATATACATTCTACTCATCAGCACATGTAACATTCTTCAAGATAGACTATGTGATAGCCACAAAACAAGTCTTAGTAAATTTTAAAAAATCAAAATTATGTCAAGTACTCTCTCAGACCACAGTAGAATAAAATTGGAAACCAACTTTAAAAGGAACCCTCAAAACCATGCAAATACATGGAAATTAAATACCTGCTCGTGAGTGATCATTCAGTCAACAATGAAATCAAGATGGAAATTTAAAAATTCTTTCAACTGAACGATAGTAGTCACACAACTTATCAAAACCCCTGAAATACAACAAAAGCAGTGCTAAGAGGAAAGTTCATAGCATTAAATGCCTACATCGAAAAGTCTGAAAGAGTAAAAATATATAATCTAAGGTAACACCTCACAGAACTTGAAAAACAAGAACAATTCAAACATAAACCCAGCAGAAGAAAAGAAATAACAAAGATCAGAGCAGAACTAAATGAAATTGAAACAAACAAAAGCAATACAAAAGATAAATAAAACAAAAAGCTGGTTCTTTGAAAAGATAAATAAAATTGATAGACTATTAGCAAGATTAACCAAGAAAAGGAACGAGAAGATCCAAATAAGCTCAATTAGAAAAGAAATGAGAGATATTACAATTGATACCACATAAATAAAAAAGATTATTCAAGTCTACTGTGAACTCCTTTACACAGATAAACTAGAAAACTTAGAGGTGATAAATTCCTGGAAATATACAACCCTCCTAGATTAAACCAGGAAGATACAGAATCTCTGAAGAGACCAATAACAATCAGTGAGATTGAAATGGTAATTTTTAAAAATTGCCAACAAAAAAGTCCAGAATCAGATGGATTCACAGCTGAATTCAATCAAACATACAAAGAAGAATTGGTACCAATCCTATTGACACTATTCCAAAAGATACAGACAGAGAGAATCCTCCCTAAATCATTCTATGAAGCCAGTATCACCCTAATACTAAACCCAGGGAAGGACATAACAAAAAAATAAAACTACAAACCAATATTCCTGATGAACATAGATGCAAAAATCTTCAATATAATACTTGTGAACTGAATCCAACAGCATAACAAAAAGATAATCCACCATGATCCAGTGGGTTTCATACCACAAATGCAGGGACGGTTTAACATAAGTCAACAAATGTGATACACCACATAAACAGAATTAAAAACAAAAATCACATGATCATCTCAATAGATGCAGAAAAAGCATTTGAAAAAATCCAGCATCCCTTTATTATTAAAACACTTAGCAAAATAGGCATAGAAGGGACATACCTTAAGGTAATAAAAGATATTTATGATAAACCCACAGCCAACATCATACTGAATGGGGAAAAGTTGAAAGCATTCCCCCTGAGAAATGGAATAAGACAAGGATTCCCACTTTCACCACATCTCTTCAACATAGTACTGGAAGTCCTAGCCAGAGCCATCAGACAAGAGAAGAAATAGAGGGCATCTAAGTCAGTAAAGAGGAAGTCAAACAGTCGGTGTTTGCTGATGATATGATTGTATACCTAGAAAACCCTAAAGACTCATCTGAAAAGCTTCTAGAACTGGTCAATAAATTCAGCAAAGTTTCAGGACACAAAATTAATGCACAAATCAGTAGCTCTGCTACACACCACCAGTGAGCAAGCTGAGAATAAAATCAAGAACTCAACCCCTTTCACAATAACTGCAAAAAATATAAAATACTTAGGAATATACCTAACCAAGGAAGTGAAAGTCCTCTACAAGGAAAACTACAAAATACTGCTGAAAGAAATTACTGATGACACATACAAATGGAAACACATCCCATGTCCATGGGTGAGTAGAATCAATACTGTGAAAATGACCATACTGCCAAAAACAATCTACAAATTCAATGCAATTCCCATCAAAATATCACCATCATTCTGCACAGAACTAGAAAAAAAAATCCTAAAATTCATATGGAACCAAAAAAGCGTCTGCATAGCCAAAGCAAGACTAAACAAAAAGAACAAATATGGAGGCATCACATTACCTGACTTCAAACTATGCTATAAGGCCTTAGTCACCAAAACATGAGTATGGTACTGGTATACAAATAGGTACATAGACCAATGGAACAGGATAGAGAACCTAGAAATAAAGACAAATACTTACAGCCAACTGATCTTCAACAAAGCAAACAAAAACATAAAGTAGAGAAAGGACACCTTATTTAACAGATGGTGCTGGGATAATTGGCAAGCCATATGTAGAAGAATGAAACTATATCCTCATGTCTCACCTTATACAAAAAATCAACTTAAGATGGATCAAAGACTTCAATCCAAGACCTGAAATCATAAAGATTCTAGAAGATAACATCAGAAAAACCCTTCTAGACATTGGCTTAGGCAAAGACTTCATGACCAAGAACCCAAAAGCAAATGCAACAAAAATAAAGATAAATAGAGGAGACTTAATTAAACGAAAAGGCTTCTGCACAGCATATAGCCAACAAGCATATGGAAAAATGCTCAACATCACTAATTATCAAGGAAATGCAAATCAAAACCACAATGCAATATCACGTCACTCTTACAAGAATGGCCATAATCAAAAAATCAAAAAATAATACATGTTGGCATAGATGAAAAAAGTAAAAAAAGATGAAAAGTGGTGAAAAGGGAACACTTTTACACTGTTAGTGGGAATGTAAACTAGTACAACTACTATGAAAAACAGTGTAGAGCTTCCTTAAAGAACTGAAAGTAGATCTACCATTTGATCCAGAAATCTCACTGCTAGGTATCTACCCAGAGGAAAAGAAGTCATTATACAAAAAAGATACCTGCACACACATGTTTATAGCAGCACAATTTGCAATTGCAAAAATATAGAACTAGCCCAAATGTCCATCAATCAAGGAGTGGATAAAGAAAATGGAATACCACTCAGCCATAAAAAGGAGTGACATAATGGCATTTGCAGCAACCTGGATAGAATTGGAGTCTATTATTCTAAGAGAAGTAACTCAAGAATTGAAAACCAGACATCATATGTTCTCACTCATATACGAGAGCTAAGCTATGAGGACACAGCAGCATAAGAATGATACATTGGACTTTGGGGACTCAGGGAAAAGGGTGGGGTCATGAGGGATAAAAGACTATACATCAGTTACAGTGTATATTGCCCAGGTGATGGGTGCACTAAAATCTTGCAAATCACGACTAAAGAACTTATTCATGTAACCAAATACCACCTGTTTCCCAAAAACCTATTGAAATAAAAAACTAAAAATATTTTTTAAATTAAAAATAAAAAATAGCTAAAAATACAAAAATAACTACCAAAGCAGCAGCATCACATCTAAACCCAGAAAGATAGATTTTGAGGGTAGATGAGGATGTAGAGAAATCCCTGAGAGTAACTATATGTAAAGGACATAAACCGTATACAGAAAAATGAAACTGGACCCCTATCTACCACCATGTACAAAAATTAACTCAAAATGTATTAAAGAATTCAATGTAAGATCTCAAACTATAGAAATCCTAGAAGAAAACCTAGGAAATACCCTTCTCAATATTGGTCTTGGCAAAGAACTTATGGTTCAGTCCTCAAAAGCAATTGCAACAAAAACAAAAATTGATAAATGGGACCTAATTAAACTAAAGAACTTCTACACAGCAAGAGAAACAGACAACCTACAGAATGGGAGAAAATATTCAAGCTATGCATCTGACAAAGATCTAATTCCAGAACCTATAAGGAACTTAAACAATTAACAAGGAAAAAACAAATAACTCTATTAAAGTGGGCAAATGACATGAACAGACACTTCTCAAAAGAAGACATATGTGACCAATAAACATATGAAAAAATGCTCATCTTCACTAATCATCAGAGAAATGCAGATCAAAACCACAATGAGATACCATCTCACACCAGCCAGAATGGCTTTTGTTAAAAGCTAAAAACATAACAGATGTTGGCAAGGCTACAGAGTAAAGGAGACACATACATTGTTGGTGGGAATGTAAATTAGTCCGGCCATTGTATAGAGCAGTTTGGATATTTCTCAAAGAACTAAGAGTTTAACTACCATTTGATCCAGAAATCCCATTACCCTGTATATATATAAAGGAAAATAAATCATTCTACTAAAAGGACACATGCACCTGTATGTTCATCACAATGCTATTCACAATGGCAAAAACATGGAATTGACTCAGGTACCCATCAATGGTTGACGGGATAAAGAAAGTGTGGTACATTTACACCATGGAATACTATGCAGCCATAAGAAAGCATGAAATAATGTCCTTTGCAGCTACACAGTTGCCACTGGAGGCCATTATCCTAAGAGAACCAATATAGAAACAGAAAACCAAATGCTGCATGTTTTCACTAATAAGTGGGAGCTAAACATCAGGTACTCATGGGCATAAAGATGGCAGTAATAGACACTGGGAACTACTAGAGGAAGGAGAGAGGAAGAGGGGATAGGGCTGGAAAACTACCTATGCTCACTACCTGGGTGATGGGTTCAATCATACCCCAAGCCTCAGCATCATGCAATATACCTTTGTGACAAATCTGCACATGTAACTCCTGATTCTAAAATAAAAGTTGAAAAGTAAAGAATACAGGCTAAAAACCAACATGAAGATGATAACGCAGAGACAACATGTAATAACAAACCTTAAGAACTCTTCTATGAATGACAATAATACACTCTTCTTCCTCTCCACCCAAGACAGAACAGAAAGAAAAAGGAATACATTACATTACAAAATTAACTTCAAAATAAAGAAAAATATCCTAGCAATTTAATTTCGGGTTTTGTTTGTTTGTTTGTTTTTTGAGATGGAGTCTCACACTGCTGCCTGGGCTGGAGTGCAATGGCATGATCTTGGCTCACTGCAACCTCCGCCTCCCAGGTTCAAGCAATTCTCCTGCCTCAGCCTCCTGAGTAGCTGGGATTACAGGCAACCACCACCATGCCCAGCTAATTTTTTGTATTTCCAGTAGAGACAGGGTTTCACTATGTTGGCCAGGCTGGTCTCGAACTCCTGACCTCATGAGGAAAGTCTTATTTATGAAATTAGTTGACTCATACTCTTTTTTTCTTTAAAGTGGGTAATATCAGGAAACCTAAATAGAAATAAATAGCCAAATGACTTTTTAAAATCTTAATAGGCTGGCTTCCAAGTACAACTCATAAGTTGGGACAGCAGAATGGGAAAATGTAGAGAGCCTGGGAACCTGGTGGCATTGCTGAGGTGCCATTCTGATCCTAACTTGCCTGTCCCATGACTGCCCCTAATAAAGAACTTACAATTGAGCAGTGCAACTCTGGGGCAAAGGTAGAAGAAAAGAATTGGGTAAGTTAATTCTATGCTGTGGGAGAAAACAGAACTCAAAAAGAGGAACATCAAGGTTAGAAAATGTGAAGGATGAATATCTGATAAGATTGAATAAAAGTATAATATCTTGGTAATGTCTAAATTCAGTGAAATGGTGGGCCAGTCTTCAGTATGAGAGAAAGCAGAACATTTGACCCAGGCACTGTGCTATGAAGGGCACGGGGTTCTCTCTCAAAGCTACTACTAATACACTGAAGGCCACTGTCATGATGTCATGATGAACTGCACACAAACACATTTCCATCTAATGAGATACACTTTCATTCATTCACTGAGCTTCATTCACTGAGCTTTCTCTTCTCCTTCTTCTTCTTTTTTTTTTTTTTTGAAAACCGTATAGACAAATGCAAGATTTTTTTTTTTTTTTTGAGATGGAGTCTTGCTCTGTCGCCCAGGCTGAAGTTCAGTGGCATGATCTCGGCTCACTGCAACCTCTGCCTCCCAGGTTCAAGGGATTCTCCTTCCTCAGCCTTCCAAGTAGCTGAGATTATAGGCACCCACCACCACGCCTGGCTAATTTTTGTATTTTTAATAGAGACAGGGTTTCACCATGTCGGCCAGGCTGGTCTTGAACTCCTGGCCTCAAGTGATCCACTCGCCTCGGCCTCCCAAAGTGCTGGGGTTACAGGCGTGAGCCACCGTGCCCGGCCAAATTCAAGATCTTTTTTAAATGAAAAATCATCTATAAACATTCTGATCTAAACTAAAATAAGTATTTTCATATTTTAAATTTCCTTTCCATATTTAATTTGTGTCATTATGACCATTGTGAACATAAAGCTTGCTTTCTACTTTTTTCTACTTATTATACCATAAACATATTTCTGTGTTCATAATTGTCACTTTAAATGCTGTCATCTGCAAGGCTTTAAGCTAGAAACTAGGGTTTATTCTGAATACTCAGCTGAACAATTGAAAGCTTTTTTTTTTCTTTTTTTAAATCTCTGAATCCCAGTAAAGAGATCTGTTGTTTTTGCCTGCTCAGCATTCATTTGCCCTTCTGCAAGGACCATGTCACAAGAACAATCTCCTTTTGGAACACCAACCTACTCCTACCTAAGCCCATTTGGTTGAGGTAGGGTTGACCCCAGCCCAGGAGTTGGGTAGTGACTGGATTGGACGAACTGACTGCATGGGGAAAAAAAGCATGTGACCCTAGTCAGTCCAGTGAGAAATAATCTTTTGCAAGAAAAGTTCTCTATCTGCTGGATTTGAAGCTAGTGGAGTGTAGGCCTGAATTTACTAAGGGGTTGCCACAGGCAAGTTTTTGTCTGGAATTCCAGTTAACATAGAAGAGTAGATTTGGACAAGGGATATGGAAAAGGAGAAGAAAAAAAGGCCAAGCTCTATCTGACCTTTTTTGAGTCACTGAATGTAGCTGTGCCTGATTTTTCAAATATTTGAGCCAATAAATTCCCTTTAAGGTTTAAGCTAATTTGAGTTAGACTTCTATAACTTGGAACCAAAATAGTCTTGAATGATACTATATCTAAGAAACCAGACACGAAAACAATAATGAAGAGGCTATCTAAGCTTAGAGCCTTTGATGTAGGGAATATATAACAACTTTCTCTGTTCATGTATTTATTTCATCTTTCACCAAGGACTATAGTTTGGATATTCGTCCCCTCCAAAACTCATGTTGAAATTTGATCCCCAATGTTGGAGATAGGGCCTAACGGGAGGTGTTTGGGTAATGGGGGCAGATCTCTTGTTAATAGATGAATGCCCTCCCTGAGGTGGGAGAGAGTGAGTGAGTTCTCTGTTAGTTACCATGAGAACTGGTTGTTGAAAAGAGCCTGGCACCACCTCCTTCTCTCTCTTGCTTCCCTTGTGATCCCTGCACATGCTGGCTCCCATTCACCTTCCACCATGAGTAGAGGCAGCCTGAGGCCCTCACCAAAGGCAAATGCTGATGCCATACTTCTTCTACAGTCTGCAGAACTGTGAGCCAAATAAACTTTTCTTTATAAACTGCGCAGCCTCAGGTATTCTTTTATAGCAACACTAAATGGAATAAGACACCCAGATATAAATTAAATATGATAAATGGGGTCTAAAACTTGAAATTTATCAAATGCAGAGTTGTGTTATTATGAGGTTCATCAAGTGACTGAGTGAGCCTGCAGAGCTAGCTGGGTTGTTCCAGGGTTTGGCTGCAGAATCCAAATCCAACCTTTTTCTAGCTGCTGCTTGCTGCTTCCTGATAATCAGAGTTGTCCACTCTGCCTTACATAATGGGGGGACAGGATAAGTGGCAGTGATTTGAGGGTTCTGCTGCTTAGTTGGAAACTTTTGTTGATCTGATCCAAGATGAATGGGTTAGAAGAATACTGGGGACTCAGGGACCTGCCTAAGGACTCTCTTCCCTGACCCAGGCCTCTCCTCCCCTCCCTCACTTTCTCCTTTACTAGAAAAGAACTTTAGTTGTGAACAGGACTGGACAGAGGAATATACCCAATTAGCTCTATCTCAGGGTTTTTCTGCTGTTGAGTTCGTTATCTCTTATCCTGTTGCAGACATGTTAAAAGTATATATATGTATGTGTGTACATATATATGTATGTATGCATGTATGTGTGTACATATATATGTATGTATGCATGTATATGTGTGTCTGTGTATATGATTTAATTTAGTCCTAAGTTGATATAAGGCAAGTCCTATTCATTTGGCCATTTTATAGATGAGAAAATTATTGAATATCAATAGAAATGACCCCGGATGCTCCACTTTGAGCCCCTCATTTTACACATGAGGACTGGGAGCCATGAGTGGTCACAGCTGGTCCAAAAATATCCAGCAAGGTGGTAACAAGCTCAGGGATTGAGCTCAGTCCCGGGACTCAGTTCTTCTTTCCTTCCCTTATGCTCACTGTGTTCTTTGTTTTTCTGGCTCATAGCACTTAAGAACAGATACAGAAATTGGGGGAAATTAATATTTGACAATGAAAAATAGAGATAGAATGCCAAACTTCAAAAACAGTGACGAGGGAATAAGAAATTGGGGGAACAGGCCATTTTGGAGTTCGGTAAAAACAGGAGAGAGAAGATCCAGACAGAGCCTCCCTTAGAAAAGAGAAGAAACAGAGCTCATGTTCTTACTTTTAACTGCCATATTTATGATCTCCCCTTCCAGGTTCAAAAAGAACCTTGATGGAGAAAATAAACATGAAAAAAACCTCAAAAATGGTTAAGAAATGAAATTTTTACCATTGAAAGGAAAGAGAATACATGTCAAAAGAGGTAGTATTTTCCTAATTATTAAATAACTTCTAGCAAGACAGTCGGGAATAGGTAAGTGCAAGCAGTGGACTTACGATTGGGTAGAAATCAGGGATTGTGAGATGAAGGTGATTTCGAAAATCAAAATAACAGAGATAGTGGGTAATTTGCTCACCTAATTAAGGCTCAAGTTAAGCTCAAGTCAGTGAAGCTAGTACTTGAATGATGCCTACGGTGAGTGACTGGGGTCAATCTGTGTGCTCTCCTACTCCATCCCATCGTAAGGAAACACATTAAAAGAAAGAAATGGCCAGTTTCTCATCTTTCTTAATGCATCACACGGATCAGATCCAAGCACAAATCTCTCTTAAAGAGCTTGGATAAGCACCACATGGTGCCGAGTAAAACAGACACAAAGAACCCCAAGGTGGCTTATTTAACTCACTAATTGTTAACTGGTGGGAGGTGGGTGATGGCAGAGAGCAGGAATGGGCCCGCCTTCTGCATGAATGAATTCAGCACATGGAATTCATGTTCATATTTACATTTATAGCTTACAGAATTTCTATGTCATTGACCCCAAGCTGATAAACATAATTACAAAGTTCATTTTAATTTCACAGACTTGGCCAATCTCATCAGTCTCCCCATTAGGTTTTCATATTAAAAGAAAGAGGAGAAAAATGAGAAAGCATATATTTATAGCCAAGAATAAATATAACAATAATAAAGGAAATAAAAAAGGAAAACGAATCTTGGCACAGTTACTTAAATTTTTCCACCTTTCTCATATGGATGGTTTCCAAGTTCTACCATTTCAAAGAAAACACCTCATCGAAGAACATGTAATTGCATGTTGTTTCCATTCTTTAAATGGGGGAAATGAAGGCTTTTCACATACACATCATCAGCTGTGCCCCAGGAAACCTTCCATTCTTTCCAAATTAGTTTTTGTATCATTAAACCAATCAGCATTAGGTGCTTAGGATTAGTTTCTGGAATAAACCCTGAATCATTACCTGTATCATGTATGTAATAAAATCAAATAATGACATCATTATTAGCACATGAGCACTGACCCTAAGTGACCAGGACCAAAAGAAATCAGGGCAGTCCTAATACGAATCAGGCAGGATGCCTAATGAAAATCAAACAGCAAGCCTAATAAGAAACAATGTATTTTGCCTCTCTTTCAAATTCACTTTTGATTTGCTTTTCATGAGAATCCCTGTTTGAAGTGGAGCTCCCGCAGGCTAGAATTCTCAGGGCTAACTTTGAGATGAGTAACTCCCAGGTGGTTCTCTGGGCCATTTGATCTAGGACAAGAACCACTCACTCATGCAGCAAGTATTTGTTGGGCATTTACCATAACCATAGGTTTCATCGTGGCTGTTTTTCATCCAACAAACTTTTACTGAGCGCCTAGTACAAGCAGGGGAGGGTGGTAGGCTCAGAAGCAGAAAGAATAAGAGATGTCATAGACGTTACTTACAGCGTATTCATTGTATGCCAGGCACAAATACATATTCATTACTGATTAATAATTTAATAATCCCAGCAGCTCCATGAGGAAGTGTATGCTTTATCCCATTTTATAAGTATAGAAAATAAGGTTCATACAGATTAACAGACTTACCTGAGGTCATACTGCTAGGAAGGGGAGAGTGTGGTGGGAAAAATTCAATCTGTCACCATCTCAAGCAGTACCTTAGATTCAGTTTGAATCATTTGTGATTGCTGATAGTCCACCTTTTTTTGACCTACAGATGACAATTATATTCCCTCTCACCCAGAACAACTCAGGGTATGGTAAGGAAGATAGAAACATAAACAAAGCACCACAATAAAGGATGGCTTGCAGTCTGATGATCATCCATATCACCATATGCATGCACCCAGCCCCCTCCACTATCCTGCGGCCTAATCTGCAAGCCCAAATCTCTTCACTTTCTGTCCCCACCTAAAATCCAGCCATGATAAGAGAGCACATAATGTGCTCATCTGTGTCTGTCTTTATCTTATTCTAAGACTTCAACCACCCTTGTCATAACTCTCATAGGCTAGGTACAGGAAAGGTGCAGGTTTGCCCTGCCCAGGAAGGAGATGCAAATATCCTAGACAGAAAGCACATGGTGTGTGTCAAAGGAGACCAAGGCTAAACACATGGAGGATACCAAATAGAATTTTTGCAATATTATTTTATACAGAATGTTAAAAGCTTGATCATATGATCAACCTCGAGGTTCATGCCGTTAAAAGTAATGGCAAAAACCGCAATTACTTTTGCACCAACCTAACTAAAAACACATGAACCCTGAGGGAAAATCAGAAACTTATTTCTCTCTGAGGATGATTCCCTATATACGTTACATATGTAAAAATCGATAGGATTGGTTGATTAACATAATTATTGCAGGGACTTCATTTTTTGCTTCCAAGACTATCAGCCCCTTGAAAGCAAGGGCCACACCTTTTAATTCTGAATTTTTCACACATTAATTGCACATACTGAAAGTTGTTTGCTTGCTTTATTTGAGTCTCTAATAGTATTTGTAACTACTGGAGAGGTAAACCAGGTAAGAAATTGTGTCTGTAGCCTTGATGTTTACAATCACAAAAGGGCTGAGTTGCAGGAAACAATGTTTTATCAGTCAACCATTAAAAATATTCCACATGGTATTAGACCTATGCAGAGGCACAACTGACCAACGTGAAATACTTCATCTCTTTGGACAACATATCCCGTAAATTATGAAAAGAAAATGGTATTTTATGAGAGCCAGGCAACCTTATTTTCTAGGCAGCACATTTCATTCGTATTACAGTTATTAATAGGTCACTTACAGGATTCATAACTGGTGCCACTGAGTGAAGGTACCCACACGTGAACAATCACCGTGGCGAGGAGTAGTATATCTCAGTTCTTTCCAGAGCAGTAACTTTATCAAAACTATCACAGATGTCCTTTGAACTCCACTCTGACATTTGCTAATTGGATTTTAGGTTGTGCTCACCAGAGTTCCTATAAGACTTTTTTTAACTTTAAAACTTTCAAAATCTCCTTTTCAACTAATGAATTTTGCCTACCGACATTAGCATTTCCTCCATGGACTATTGCATGTAAAAGTGCCTGATGGTGCTTTTGTAACTCTCACATCAGCTAGTCTCTTGCATGAGCAAACATATTCAATATTTTTAAAATTAGAAGTTGAAGAATACACAGGATGAGATGTCACTATAAAGTGAGCTAGGACAGATAATTAAGGATTAAAATCTAAACCATTACCTCTCATGCAAGGTAGAGCAAGAAGCATGGATGTCTCATCTCCTTAGAGAAATGCAGATACAATGTATCAGATAAGGTATTCTGTAGTTTTCATTACAAAGTTAATATTTATTTTACAGCATTGAGTTTATCTTACCAACATATCTCATTCAGAAATAGAAGAATTTCTTGATTTACCACATTAAAGTAAATATTGCTGTGAGATACGTGTTAAATTTTTAATAAAAACCACCCTATCTTTGTTGGATCAAAGAAAGCTCCTTCAGCTGAGATACAAACAAAACCAAATAAAAACACATAATTTCAAATACTGAGCATCACTACGCATGTTCACCAGCCTGCCCATGACAATTGCAGTTTTATGTGGCTGAGCATTTTAGAGCTTCAATTAAGTTTATTATAAGTCATAATCTCAGAACTAAAATTTCCAATTACCTGTACCTGTAATGCTGACCCACGGGACAGCATTTCAGAACTGCATGTTCCTCGTGCCTGAACCATGCTCCCAAAAAGGTACAAAAGTGAAATTCAATGTAATTAGATTTACAAACATCATCCTTTGCCTGTGTGGGTATATTTGTAATATAGAAGATTTATTAGCATGGTGTGTTTTCTCTCTACAGGATAGAGTTAGATGTAAAAACTTAGTTTGTTTTCACTGATTCCATATTCCTTAAGTTAGCAATAAAAATTCTATTACTGAAAAGCAAAAATAACTGATATAGTGATCCTGACTCTTCTCCTTGTATTAAGAAGAATGAGAAGTCAGCAAACCCAGGAAAGACAGTTCTCCCCCTCTCCACCCCTTCATGAAGTGATTCCCCACCAGCCTGTAGTTAAGTCTCATGGAATCTCTTTCTCATCCTGAAATATGGATAGGGGGTACAGCACATGACAAAATGATCACAGAAAAGAAGATTGCTTCAAATCTTCAGGTTTAGAAGAATAAAGTCAAATCTTAAAAATTATAACATATAAATCAAATAAGTACATTTGGGACAATATAACACCTTGGCGTGGCCTCCTCTGTGCTGCTCCCTGCAATAGAAAAGCACCATGACCTAAAACTACACACTTTGCCTCCAGACTCCCATGCATTTGCACCTCAGCTCTGTCATTTATTAGCTGTGTGACCTTGAGGAAGTTTTATAACCTCTCTGTGCTAGGGTTTTCTCATCTATAAAATGGAGATAATAATCATCTCTATCTCCAAGGGTTGATATAATAATTAAGTTAATATTTGGTAAGCTCCTAGGAAGAGTCTGGCACATAATAAATGACACTGTATAAGTTTTATTAAATACAGTAAAATATTGGTTCTGCTGGCTCTCTTTATTTATATGATCAGAGAAATTCAAATATTGCCTCTTCCTCTAACTCCATGATTTTTCTCTCCCCCTTTGACCAACTCATAAGCCTTTTAATCACAAGCAGAGATATTTTTTCTCTTAAAGAAAAGCTAACATTTTGTAAACATTCTGTATGTGCCAGGCAATTATCTGTTATCTCATTCAGTCCTCATAAAATCCAGTGAAGTGAATGCTGTTATTATCCCCATTTGATAGATGAAGAAATGAAGGCATTGAAAAATTAGATAAATTCTGTATGATAACATACTTCTTATGGAGCAGAACCAGGATTTGAACCCAGGCAGTGTTGAAATTTATTTCATAGAAAGAATATATGCCACAGTACAAAAATATTCCCTAATGAATTTATGTTTTAAAGAATTATCAAAAATGTTTTAAAAATATCCCTTCTGGCCGGGCGCGGTGGCTCACGCCTGTAATCCCAGCACTTTGGGCGGCTGAGGTGGGCGGATTAAGAGGTCAGGAGATCGAGACCATCCTGGCTAACACGGTGAAACCCTGTCTCTACTAAAAATACAAAAAATTAGCCGGGCGTAGTGGCGGGCGCCTGCAGTCCCAGCTACTCAGGAGGCTGAGGTAGGAGAATGGCGTGAACCCGGGAGGCGGAGCTTGCAGTGAGCCGAGATTGTGCCACTGCACTCCAGCCTGGGCGACAGAGCGAGACGCCATCTCAAAAAAAAAAAATCCCTTCTACACCAGTCAAGCTCACTGTATATCAGCTAACACCCAGACAACCTGCAAATCCATGAGAATAAATGATTGTTGTGTTAAAACCACTGAATTTGGGGATGGCTTCTTTTACAGTATGCTTATAGCAACAGTTCACAAATACAGGATATTTTTTTTTTTTTTTGAGTCGGAGTCTCGCTCTGTTGCCCAGGCTGGAGTGCAGTGGCGTGATCTCGGCTCACTGCAAGTTCCGCCTCCCAGGTTCAAGTAATTCTCCTGCCTCAGCCTCCTGAGTAGCTGGGATTACAGGCGCACGCAGCCACGCCTGGCTAATTTCTTGTATTTTAGTAGAGACGGGGTTTCACCGTGTTGCCCAAGCTGGTCTCAAACTCCTGAGCTCAAGTAATCCACCCTCCTCGGCCTCCCAAAGTGCTAGGATTACAGGCATGTAATACTTTTGTAAACTTTTGATAAATGAAACCAAAACCAAATTTGAAAATGTCTTTAAACAAAGAAACAAAGAAACATTGAATGCCTACATAATTTTGTTAGCAAGAGAGAGAGATTTTAGGCTGACTGAATGCAACATAAAGCTTTTCCTTTAAAAAAAAAAATCCTTTCCTCTTTAAAGTCTAGTTCCATATTTCAGTTAACACACTTTTGTAATCAACAACAAAGTAGAACTGCATATCCTGCATAAGATCCAGGATTCCATGAAGTCAAAGAAAGTGCTTTGATAAAACTGTTCATACTGTATGCAAAGACAGTAACCAAAACAAAGTTAAACAAGTCAACAATTGGAGAGGAGAAACATCAATAAGTATGATGACACAAGTGTTTCCAAAGAGACGCATTCAAATGTCAAAGGCTTAAGGGATACTCTTGCAAAAACTGATAAAACTCTTGAGTAATTTTACAAAGATTACTTTTATGATTGCACTATGCAAATAAACCAAGATAGCAACTCCTCCTCCAGGGGGCAGAGCTGAGCTAGCAAAGCACAAGCTGAATTCTGTCCAAAACAGGGAAAAAATTTGATTCATCTTTCGATATTTAGTTGAAAATAAAATTTAAATTTGGCTAAATGTAAGAACAATTGTGTATATTTTTATAATTCTTAATTTTCTTTTTTAAGATAAAGCCTCACTCAAGTCATTTTTTCCTAATCTGACTTTTGCCAGGATGTTTTTTTTTTTCAGGCTGGAGTGTGATGGTGTGATCTCAGCTCACTGTAGCCTCAAAATCCTGGCCTCAAGTGATCCTCCCACTTCAGCCTCTCTAGTAGCTAGGACTTTAGGTGCACGCCATGACACTTGGCTAATTTTTTTTTTTGGTAGAGATGGGGGTCTTGCTATGTTGCCCAGGCTGGTCTCGAACTCCTGGGCTCAAGCAATCTGCCCACCTCGGCCTTCCAAAGTGTGGCCCTTAGAGATGTGAGCCACTGTGCTTGGCTAACCAGCATTTTTAAGTGGATTAACTTTCAGAAGACTTTTTCTCTCCGGTATCAATCATCCTCAGATAATGAGGTAAGGAGAACTTCCTCTCCTATATTTCTTTGAGAGCTTTCAATAAGTAAGCCCATCTAAGTCATAAAAAGATTATAACCAGAGTAATTCTGCTATCTGGTGGCAAAACAGATAAACAACAAGACCAACAAGGGATTGGGTACCAAAGAAGGGGTCTAAATCTTTATTACATTTCTTTTAAATGACACAGTTTCTGATCTCAGCCAAAAAGAACTTAAATTTTGTCAAAGAATTATTAACACGAGGGATAAAGGAAAGAAACTGAAAGGGTAGAATATTATTAAATACTGTGTGCTATGCACTCTGGAAACCATGCATTTCATTTAAGAATAAATTTGAACCATTAAGACCTTCCTTCACCAATCAAGAACTCTCCAAACCAATTCAATTGCCACAAAGATAAACTGGTCAATTTTCCATTGTTATGTAAATATTTCTTCTGACTTAGAATCATACAAAATGAATTTAAGAGCAGGAAGAGATCCTAAACATCATCTAGCCTGACATTCTCATTTTACAGATGACAAGACAGAATCCAGAGTTAAGTGACTTGTCTAAGACCATACAACTTGTCAGAGTCAATGTAGGCTCTAGAATCTGCATCTCTCAACCAAAGGCCAACAGTATTCTTCCTTTTCTCTATGCTGAAAAATAGTACTATCGTTACCAAAGAGAATTTCAACCAAAGCCCATTTCACCTCACCTGTTCTCCTCAATGAGCCTATTTCTTCCATTTGAAAAGGGGTGGAACAGATATGTCAATGGTAAGCTTCATATTGTTTTCCATACTTAAACAGAAGAGTGCCTTAAACCCACAAAGCAGGGCTGCAGGGAAAGCAGCCTGTGGATTTCATCCTCCTCTCGCTGCCACAGCCAGCACTCTGGTGCTGAACACAGCCTACACAATGGTTCTCAAAGTGTGATCCCTGGACCAGCATCATTAACATCACCGAGAATGTGTTAGAAATGCACATTCTTGGGTCCTATCTCTAAGCTGCTGGATGAGAAACTCTGAGAGTGGGACCCCTAACAATGTGTGTTTTAACAAGCCCTTTGGGTAATTCTGATGCATTAAAACTTGAGAACTACTAGTGTATACAACCAATATAGTGGCTACCTAAATAGAGTCTGATGGTGTTCCACCTGAGAGGTGGTGGCTGTGATACAGAAGTGCCAGCTTGCTTGGCAAGTGTGTTTTGTTATCTAAATTTTGAAGCACTGGCACAAAACTTTCCTGACAGCAGTTGTTTCGATTTGCTAGTGGGAGCCCATTCCAGCCTTTATTCAAGATTTGGGGGATTTTTTGTTTTGTTTTGCTTTATTCTCCACAGATAATATGTCTTCCTATCAAAGCAGAAATAGATGATCAGAAGAGAGGAGAAATGTCCTAGGAGCGCAGAGACCAGTACAAAAGACATCTCTATTGCCTTCTCTTTCTCTCCTTTCTCTACGTCCCCCACCTGTAGTTCCATCTCTGCCTGCTGAGCCACAGCCATCTCTTCAACCACAATTGACTCTTTTGTCTCCACTAAATGCTGCTTATGTGGCCCCTGTCCCTTCAGCTCCCATGACTGCCACCTCCGCCCCTTTTCACTTCACTTTTTCACTGCCGTAACATACACATTTTGGCTGCCAATTTAACTACATGGTCACTTAGCTTCAGAAGATGAAGTAATCTCATTACCTACAAGAGACTTAAGCCTAGTCAGGTGCATCTATTACAGATTAGAAGACACCCAGGTTTGGGAAAGTTAAACAAATTATTTGGTATTATTCAGCTCTTCCAATTAGATATATAAGATTGTATTTTTTTCTCTTATGTAGACATTTTACTTGAATCCAGCACTTTAGCCCCTCAGTAGCATGTTAAAGCTTGATTTTGTCCTTATATAGGTATTCTTCCTAGCTTAGATTCATCGGAAAATTTTTCTAAGCCTGCCTTTTATATTTTCAACCAGGATTTGTTAATCAGAAGCCTAAAGTACTTAATCCACCTGAGACCTTTTTTGAGGCCGAGGCAGGCGGATCACCTGAGGCCAGGAGTTTGAGAACAACCTGACCAACATGGTGAAATCCCGTCTCTACTAAAAACACAAAAATTAGCCGGGCGTGGTGGCAAGCACCTGTAATCCCAGCCACTCGGGGAACTGAAGCAGGAGAATCGCTTGAACCCGGGACATGGAGGTTGCAGTGAGCCGAGATCGCTCCTCTGTCTGCACTCCAGCCTGGGTAACAGAGTGAGACTCGGTCTCAAAAAAAAAAAAAAAGAAGGAAGGAAGGAAAAAAATAAAATGTCAGATACCAGTAAGCACTAAGGAGAAAATGAAGCAGGGAAGGAGAATACAGAGTGCTAGGGAAGATTACAGTTTTAAATAGGCTGGTCAAGAAAGGTCATTAAGAGGGGTCATTAAGATATTTTAATATCTTTGGAGGCTCTCATGTGTTTTGCTAAAACGTCAAGCATTTGTTTGACAGCACTAACCTCTTAGGTAGTTTTTGTTGAGGATTACTAAAAACCATTTGTTTAACCATACATTCTGGAATTTTCTAGAATTTAATATCAAACTTATCGGCTTGTACTTTCCTGAATTTGCCCTTTATTTTCTCAGCATCATTGGTAATATCAGCGATTCCAGTAAGAAAACACAACTACTGGCATATAAAAATAGATAGAACATGTAGTGTCACTTCAGAACTATTTGTTCCCCAATGCAGAAAAATGCCATGAAGTTACCGTTTAGAAAACATGTTTTGCCCTTCTATGCCCTTATCTACTGAAAGAAAAAATATCAGTGTTTATTATTATTATCATAGCCAGCTTCACAATCTACTAAAAACTCAGCAATAAACTGAAATGGCCACATGGATAGGAGAGAAAAATTGTGGGAGGAAAACAGGCTGAACCTTTATAACATCCTTTACAGAGAGCTGTATTCACCTTTTTGTCCCAGCCTCAACTAGTAAAGGCATAATTTATTTATCTGGAGCACCTCAAGTCAGATATAGTGTCTGCATTGTCCGGGAGATACCTTTTTATGCCGTTTTATGGCTTGGTTCACACAGGAACAATGAGTTCAAGTAATCTGGCCAAGGTCATATGCTGAGAGTTTCTGGTTTTGTCTATTTTAAAACGGGAGAACTTAATGGTTTCTTCTTTTTATTGTACTCACCAGAGTCCATCATCTTTCTCTTTACTTCTCTGCCCAATTTTACAGAAAAAAAAAAAAAAAGTCTTGAAATCTTTAACTGCTTTAACTGTTTTGGTCATTTTAGTTCTTCCAAATTTGTCAGTAACACAAATTGCTTGACATCTAATATCATTTAGTCACTATAAAATGTTTACAAAAATGAAGCATCATTGTTTCCAAAAAAAAGGGGGGCGGGGAATGCTGTGGGGATGCTTGGTAAAACCAAAAAAAATAAAATAAAAACTTCCTGCAGAATAAACAGTATCTTTGAGTCAGATTTCCCAGGGATTTACACAAAATTTGATGACGTAGCTTTGTTTGGAGAAGATTTCTAGTGATGAGCCAAAAAACTTCAAACTGTACTGGCTTCTGTGCAATAGAAAATCTTATTTTTTGCTTTCTTTCTATTTAACAGTTTTTCAAAATGATTGCTTCTGACTCCTAATTGTCTCATTGTCTTACTACACCAAATTAGAACCTTACTTCTAGAGTTCTTTCTCCAGTCCAAAATTCTGTCCTTTATTTTTTCCTGGTTTTTTAGAACTAGTCCTGGATTCAAACCCTGTCTTCTTTAGTTATGTGCTGGGTGCTGTGTGTTATTTGAGCCAGTTATTTACCTCTCTGAAACTTACTTTCTGCTAAAATAGCCACAAACAGTACAAAAACTCTTTGGATGGTTATTTTGAGAATCAGATAATAAATATGATATTACTGACAGTAATTGTTAAATCAATGTTAGTTTCTTTCTCACCAAAAATTTGCCTCGTTTGCTTAAAACAATGTTTCTTGTTACAAAAGTATTATAATTGTCAGAAATCTAGAAAATAAAAATAAGTAAAATGAATAAAATTTAAATTATTAATATTCCTAATAACCAAAGATAATCAGGTTAACAGATTGGGTATATCTTTCCAATCTTTTCTTCTACAGGTACATATAGTACTTACTTTTTTATTATCACTACCTTAAGTCATTATTAAAGTATAACATACATATGAAAAGTGAATAAAGCAATGACTTTTCACAGTGAACACACCCAATATCACTAGTTTTTGATGTGCTTTTGGACTTAATGCATGGGGACCATGACGGTGTAGTAGAGGGTTGGAGCCAGGCTCTGAAGCCATACTGCCTGAGGTTGAATACCGCCCAGCAATTTCCTAGTGATGTGACCTAGGACACATTATTTAACTGTTTTAGGTCTCTGTTACCTCATCTGTTGAATAATCATCGTTTCGCCCATTATGAAGATTAAATGAGTGAATGTAAATAATTTCCTTAAAATAATGTGAGACATATAGCACACATACAATAAGGAGAGTAATTATTAATATTGTGCAATATCTGGAGAACTTTTTCTCACAATAATTAAACTTTCCCTCATGTGCGTGAGAGTCATTTTTTTCTTTAGGAATTTGGTTAGCTCCCTAAATAACTTCTCTGCTTTCCTCATCTGCAATTAGCTAAATGGAAAGCAATCGTGATCTCAGGATAAGCCTCATGTTTACATTTGAGTTCAGACGCCCTCACCCGGTACCAAGACTGCAAAGCAGCCCCAAATACACCCTAACCCATCTTTCCAAGCATAAATCCTTTTGCTCCCTTCTATAAGCACTCCTAAATCAAGCTGCTCACTTACCTTTAAATACGTCTTGTTCTTTTCCATCTCTGGCTTTTGGGACTTCTATCTCCCTGCTTCCCGGAAATACCTTTTCCTATCATGCTTTCCAAACTCCCCACATCCCTTGAGGTAGAGCTTCCTCTCGCCTCTGAATTTAGTATTGCCCCCAGTTGGCAATCACCATGCACTGCCGTATTAATATCGTAGCAGTTCACATGTGTATTTGGCACTTATAAAACACCTTCACATACAGTGTCTCTTTTGATCTGCCCAACAATCTGATGGGATAAATAAAGCTGTGATTATTATCCTCATTTAGCATCAAGGAAATTGACTCTTGGTCATGAAAACACCTCCAGTCCCCACCTAGAATGAAAGTTCCTCCAGACTGAAGACATTATGTTTCTCTTCGTTTTCTTGACCACAAGACATATTTACTCAGGAATTGATGATCTACTACTCAAGTAATTGTTATGAATACAAATAGCAAATTTTTCGTGCCTCCTACGTATCTCTGGGCTAAACAGAGATGGTTATCATTTATTTATTTAACAAGATGTTAAATGTCTACTATGTGCCAAGCACTGCATTCCATCTGTGTGTGCTAGGGGTTTGTTAGTGTGCCTATCTTCAGGTTATGTGAAAGAGTACTGGATTACATGCTAAAAGAACCAAAGTCAACTACTGCCTCTCTGACATACATGCAGACTTCCCTTGTTCATTTCTGGACCTCAATTTCCTCATCTACAATATGAAGATAATAATCTCTGATCTGACTACATTGCAAGATTATTATGAAGATTAAATAAGGTATGCAAGTTCTTTATACACTTTATAAAATATAATAGTATCAATGTTATGCATTTGTTGTGACATGGTTCTTCCTCTGTGACCCAAAAATCCAGTTGAGATGACAAGACATGTACCTAAGAAGACAAGTTACAACATAAAATGGCCTGTGCAAATGTTTAATAACTTAGAGTGGTGGAAGGTGTAAATATATCACAACTTAGAAAATAAGGTAACACTGTGCCTTTAAATTCGGAAGATTAAAACATTTTTCCAAATCTTAGTTTGTCCTCCATTTTATTAATGTTTAAATCATGAAAATATTAATTCTTCTTGTGGGAATTAACTGTCAACCAGAAATAAGATTATCTATTTGGATTTTTTAAATGTTTCTAATACCCTGTATTACTGCGGTAGTACTTCACCCAGGCTCATTTCATTCTTCTACACCTATTCCAATGGAATTGCAAGAGTTATTGTCCCCCTGGACTTCCGAAGTGGAAAGAATAGGAGAAAATGTAAGGAAGCTGCTCTTTGATCTCCGTGTACATCAATTACAGGTAATAAATCCCCTGGCAGTTGAAGCTAAGACAGAATCTCAAAAGCACGTGGACTTTTCCTATTAGAAAATATAAACCAAATAGTGACTATTTGTTGTTTAGATTTATTTTGTGAGTAATGTAACTGAAAAAACAACCCGGCATTGAAGGATGTATCATTTTTAATCTCAGCACTTTTAGCTACTGCCAACACCAGATAGAGTATCTTATTGCAATAATTC